>NC_000002.12:193853254-194156284 GCF_000001405.40 Homo sapiens | reverse complement strand
TCTCTACAGGGAATATGAACCTCTTCTCTTGCCTCTCTAAGCAGGGGGCAGAGTTCAATAAGCCCATGAGAGAACTCTTGACTTGTACCCACATCCTAAATGTCACTAGTGAGCCAGGCAATGGCAATTACTCAGCTCTCCATATACCCCAGACTGATGTCTGGTGGTATTGTGGGAAAATAAACCTCCATAACCTGTTGCCATTCAATTGAACCAGGACTTGGGCTTTAGTCCAAATGACCATTGCCTTCATCCTGGCATTCCATAAGATACATGAAAATACACATGGTCATAAAAACCAAAGAGATTTGACAAATTCTTTTGATTCCAATATACATGTTAACTCAATAGGCGTCCCTAGGGGAATGCCTAATAAATTTAAGGCCTGAAAGCAAATAGCTGCTGGGTTTGAGTCAGCACTCTTCTGGTGGTCAACTATTAATAAGAATGTGGATTGGATTTACTACATCTATTATAATCAACAGAGATTCATCAATTATACTCGGGATTTCCTGGAAAAGGTGGCTAGTCAGTTAGATGCCACCAGCCAAATGGCCTGGGAAAACAGGCTTGTGCTAGACATAATACTAGCAGAAAAACGGGGCATATGTGTTATGCTGGGTAAAAAATGTTGCACTTTCATATTCCCAGCTATACTGCTCCAGATGGGACCATCACAAAAGCATTACAAGGACTGACAACTCTAGCCAACGAACTGGCAGGAAATGCTGGAATTGATGACCCATTTACGGGTTGGCTAGAAGGTTGGTTTGGAAAATGAAAAGACATAATAGCTTCAATCTTTACATCCCTCATAATTGTGGCAGTAGTCATAACATCAGTGGGATGTGGTATTATCTCTTGTGTGAGATTACTAGCACAGAGATTAATTGAAACAACTATTAATAAACAAATGCCCATGACTTACCAGTAAAATAACCTATTAGAAACCTAATTAAATTCACTCTTCTAGGAGAAAGAAAGTAAACTACTCCCAGAGCAATTCAAAGACCGAAAGGGTTTAGATGAAAATTAGACCAAAGGAAGTAAATAGAAAAGAGGAGGAAATTTGTAAGAAAATATTTTAAATAGTCCATTTTCAAGGTATGATCAATCTAACTACTGGCAGTCAGCCTGCAGATGTGACAAACTGCATGCCCTGTGCACCTAGAAAGTTATGAAAGGTGAACAGAATGTAGAGGAGGGGTCAGCCCACAAAAGGGAAGTAAGTTTTTTTATTGGGAAATAAAACTTAAGTGGGGAAAGGGACTGGGGTATAACCTTATAAGGGGGATAATAAAAGTTAGACGATGTCCTGGAAGATTGTAACCCCATACACTCAACGAATAAGGAACTGAGGGAGGGACTTGCATGCTAGGAGATAAATTACCTGTTGTAACTGCCCCAGGTGTGCATGCCTACCAGATACCCAATCTTGCAAGACTGCCATTAAAAGTCTCGCTTCCACTGTTATTCATGTCTCCAAGTCCATTCTTTGGGTTCAGACAGGTGAATGTGTTTCTCACACTTACCATCAGAGAAAATGATATAACTTGGTCATTAAATTGGAAAACTAAAAATTGCACTATTCTCTTAATTCCTTTATCATGGGCAAGTAAGAATTAGAGAAATTTTACAATTCTCCTGCCTCATTCTGCCAGACAGCATTCTGGGAGCCTAACAAGGAAAGAAGCTCAAAAGTATCATAATGGGTGAGCTGGACTTATAATTTATGGAATAATGTATAAAATGTACTGAAGAAACTGAAGACTGTGAAACAGAAATATATGCTCTTTTTCAGGGAACATATGCAAGGACCTGAATTATTGTTTATAAGAATTTAAAAAATATGACTAATATAACTCTCCATTAATAAGGAAATAAAAAAATTATTGAATATTACTGTGGCAAAATATTATGTGGTAATTAAAAATAATTAGCTAGATCTTTATGTATAAACCTAGATAGATTTCCAAAACAAAAGGTAAGTTGAGAAATGATGTGCACAATTTGATATAATTTATATAATTTTTTTAAAAAAACAGTCTAACAATTATTTATGGTTGCATATATACATATGTGTATTCATAGAATATATGTTAAATGTACCTAGCAAACATATATTTGTCAATGCATGTCACATAAATTTATATGTCTCCATAAACTACATATATATGCATAAATGGCTACAAATATGTGTGTGTGTGTGAGAGAGAGAGAATATAAAAATTAAAATAGAAAAATACATGTCAATTATGGAAGTTTCTTAGGAAAAGGAAATTGTACTGCGGAAAAAAAATAAATCTCAATTTATCTTTAATTCTATTTTACTTTATGATATGTTCTTATGCAAAAATTACTTCAGATTAACATTGTTACTTCAGGATGTTAGCCACACTAATTTCTTTATAATATTATGTGTTGAACTTTTGCTTTTAAAATTTTTTCAATATAATAATGATAAAGTCTTTACAAAAGCAGTGTATTGTGGTAGAAAAATGCGACCAGCGGATATGGTAACTCAAGGCATAGCCTGTACATGGGCATCTAGATTGGTGGGCAATAGGGGACATTTTATTCCTACCAAACTAAGTGTAACTCCCCAAATTTTAGAATATATGGTAAAAAAAAAATCAATAAGGATTAATAGTAATTAAATAAAAACCATGAACATTTTATTAAACTTGACTTAATCAAATTAGAGTTAATGAAATTAAATTTAAATTATAGATTTGAATAGTAATTAAATAAAAATTTTTATTTATCATTCATTCATGCTTATTTTACAATTTTAAACGCGTATAAAAAAGTAGAAAAACTCATTTTAGCCTTCTAAGGATTCTTGTCTCTCAGTGGCTAGATCCTTCCCCCTAGGGTAAAAAATGGAATGAATTTTCATCTTATCGGGTCAACCACTTTACCCTAGGAGTTAGAGTTTTGTGAAATAAGCAATCTGCTTTGATTCTTCACCAAAATTTTGAAATATCTAAGTCATAAATCTTAAACACATGTGGTAAATTCATGCAGGGGTTTGAATGATAGTATTTAGAAACCTTTGAAAATATGTATTTAAAAAAATCTAATTCTTACGGAGTCTCAGTATGTCACCCAGGCTGGAGTGCAGTGGTGAGGTCTCGGCTCACTGTAGCTTCCGCCTGCTGGTTCAAGTGATTCTCCTGCCTCAGCCTCCCGAGTAGCTGGGACTACAGGGGCACACCACCATGCCTGGCTAATTTTCATATTTTTAGTAGAGATGGGGTTTCATTAAGTTGGCCAGACTGGTCTTGAACTCCTGACCTCAGATGATCCACCCGCCTCAGCTTCCCAAAGTACTGGGATAACAGGCATGAGCCACTGCGCCCAGCCATTCTTATATTTTTCTAAGAAGCAGTGTGGCAGTTAATATGTTAAATTTCTCTACATTTAAAATTGAGTTTTTTTCTAACATTTTTCATGTGACTAATTAGAAAGACATCCAATCATATTTTCTTCCTCGTCTATTTACAAAAACAAACAAACCAAAAACAACAAAAACTATGAGAGACCACAACCATGCATTTTAAATAGCATCTTTTCATTCATGTATTACACTTTAAAAACAGTACTGGTGCAGTTAAAAAATAGACGTAATTCAATGCAATGAAAATTTTCCAAGTGACTATATGCAGTATGTAGTACTTTATTTTTAATAAAATATGTCAGATAATCCCTGTTTGTTCCTTATATGTTGAGTTAATAAAGTTTACCTTATGTGTTATTTAGGATACTTCACAGGCAAAACCAAAGAAATCTTGAAGAGCCAGCTTTCTGTGCTACAATAATCTTTCAAGAACCATTAATATTAAACATTGATGGAATTTTTATCAATTTTATTACCTAAGGTTATAGACTACCTCCAAAGTACCTTTCCTATTAGCTGTGTTCATCTCCTCTGTCTCCTAAGAGAGCCATAATCAACTACTAGTCTATTAATAGATTTTAAGTTCTTAGGTATCTATAACCCAGGTGATTAAGTCATACGTTAAAGATTTACTGAGCCAAGAAACAAACAAAAAAATGTAGACTTAGAAACAGTTAATAAAGGAACATGAAAAAGGTCTATTTTAGGAATACTACATTTCTCAGTATTATTGATCTTTCTTTAACTCTCAGATACTCCATTTTATCAGCAATATTTTTCATCTAATACAGTGAATTGTTGTTCAGGTTAGAATTAGCCATATAGTGAGATACTTCTATTACATGTATGAAGACATCTATTATTGCCTTATTGGTTAATCAAGTACTAATTATTTTCCTTTGGTAAAATTTATTGGCATAAACTAGTTTGATTGATTGAATAAAACAGTAAAAAAGCAGATTATTTTTAAAAACAAGTCACTCAAGCTAAGGTTATAGACTCCCTTAAAATTACCTTTCTTATTAGCTATGGTCAACTCCTCTGTCTCTTAAGAGAGCCATAATCAATGACTAGTCTATTAATAGGTTTTAAGCTGTTAGGTATCTGTAACCCAGGTGATTCAGTTATATGGTAAAGATTTACTGAGCCAAGAAACAAACAGAAATATGTAGAGTTAGAAACATTCAATAAAAGAACATGAAAAAGGTCTATTTAAGGAATACTACATTTCTCAGTATTGGTAAAATATTTGGTAATTGGACCAAACAAAAATATGGTAAAATATTGGTAAAAATATTTGTCTGTCTTCAAAATATTTATATATTGTGGAAATGATGTTGAAAATACAGAGGTTTCAGTGCTTTGGACTCTTGAAGTTTATATGAAAATATTCAGCAATTATTTCCCGTGTCCAATTCTTGCTAAGGTAGCTAGAACTGGACAGGCTCCCAGCTTCAGCCACCTGCTTTTTGGACATCAGCTGTCACTGAAGAAACTCTGACACCCATCTTCCTTTATCATAAATTACCTTTTGTTAACCTCCATGAGCTTTCTTATGAGTGATTCTTCATCCCATCATTGAACCACAATACATTTCTATTAATAATTATCTTAACAAAACAAGATTCAAAAGCTAGTCCATTTTCCTCAAAAGAAGCTTCTTAACTCTCAGGCAAATTCACACATACCTTCCAGATTAACTGGCTCTCAGCTTTAAAAATAATGTGAATTATGTCTCTTTATCAAAGTATTAATCTAATAGAATTGACCTCCTCCTGACTTAAGAAGAAAAAATATCAAAAGAACTTTTGCCCCAACAATAGTGAAAACTTGTTCAAGGTTATTTGCTTTCATATAGAAGTGGCTGGGATAATTCAAATTATTTTTATATGACTTTATTGGGCACCAAGTTACATACACTCCTTACTACAATGTTATACTTTTCCAAAAGCAACTAGATATTATGGGCCTATAATTGTTTCCATACTTCTAATGGTGGTCTTTGTTGTGTGAATAAAGAAATGAAGGGGTCAATAAATTTATTTCCATATATTTCTTAAAAATTCACATCTAAAAGCTGTAATTTTACATTGTAGTCATAGGCATTGACTACGCATTTATTTAAAAAGGGAATATTGGCATGATCTGCCTGAGGGCTCCAGGACCTGCTCACAGATTTCGCTGGTCCTCATGTGCCTTACCTGGAGACCTGGGGACTGTTCCATCCAGACCATTGCCAATACCACCAGTTCCCACATGTCCCACCCAGGACCAAGAGAGTGGTCCAACTGCCCTGCCACTGACAATGCTGGAGCTCATTTGTGCTGAAAGAATTAATTATCAATGGGCTGACTCTACAAAAAAACTGCTTATGGAAGCCAGGCATGGTGGCGGGTACCTGTAGTCCCAGCTAGTCAGAAGGCTGAAGTGGGAAGATTACTTGAGTGCAGAAGTTTGAGGCTGCAGTAAGCTGTGATCATACCACTCCACTCCAGTCTAGGTGAAAGAGTTAGACCACATCATTTAAAAAATTAAAATAAATGTTTAAGAGAATCCTACATCTGGAAGCAAAATATGTACCATCGTAAAAACACACTATAGTATAAACTCACTGAAACAGCAGATACACAAATGAGTAAGACAAAGAAATTAAACTAAGACCCAATTATATGCTGCCTACAAAAAAATTAATTTCACCTGGAAAAACACATATAAACTAACAGTGAGGGGAAAATAAAAGCTATTCCATGAAAATGGAAACAAAAAGCATTCAAGAGTAGCTATACTTATACCAGACAAAGTTTTAAGTCAAGAAACATGAAAATAAACAAAGAAGGTCATTGTATAATGATAGATGAGTTAATTCAGCAAAAGTATTGAACAATTGTAAATATACATGCACCCAACATCCAAGTACACAAATATATAAATATTATTAGAAGTAAAGGGACAGATAGATTCCAATACAATAATGGTTGGGGATAGTACCACCCCACTTTCAGCAGTTACGCCTGTGAAACCATACAGTAAGGACTGCAACTTGGGCAAGAGAATTAGGGAAAGATAGATCACTAGTAGAATCAAGTAAACTTGATGACTGATTGAATGAGATGAGGAGTAATCAAATATATTCAAGGTTTATAAAGGAAAATGTACAATATATACAAAAGTCTATTACATCCCAATAATATTGCTTGTGAAATACAGAGGAATATGTTAATGTTATTTCCTATATTTTCAATAACAATGCAGATAAAATGTAACACTGTACCAGGTGTCTTTCCATTATGTACAATATTGTTATAAACACATTAGAGTTCTTCTTAATTATAATATTAAGCTTCTTTGTTTTTTTAATTGAGAAATTCACCTTGTCAATTCATTTGTATTGACTCATGTATGTAATTGTATGTTAATTATTTCTGAGAGGTTAATTTCTATGGTACTTTTTCCTAATTCTTTAAAGAAAAATATTTGGTTAAAATCACCCACAAAGACTGTACATGAGAATCAGTATTCCTCTGTAACATGAAACACTTATATATGTGTAAATGATTATGTAACAAAGAAAACTTAAAATTAAAAATTAGAGAAAAAAGCTTTTGTTGTATAGACATTACTCATTTTGTTATGCTTCACATAATTGTGCTTTACAGCTAAGTGCTTTTTATAAAGTGGATTTGTGGCAACTCTGCAGTAAGCAAGCCTATCAGTGTCATTTTTTCCAATAGCATATGCTCATTTCATGTCTCTGCATCATATTTTAATAATACTAATAATATTTCAAATGGTATTATTATTATCAAGAGAGGAGGTAGTTAGCGGATGACTAGGCAGATAGAGTCTTGGGAGAGGAAAAACACCCACGGGACCACACCCTCACTGCCCTGCAGCTAGTGGAAATAAATATGGTTAAGAAATTCCTCTAATGCCATTATGTTTTCTCAGAAGGGACTGCCCCAGGCCTAGGCACAGGTACAATAAGTCAACTTAAATGTCCTTGACTTAACCCAGATCATTGTAATATCATTAACATGATATTAGCATTATAGTTTTAGCTTGCCCCACTGACATGGGTTTCACTTATACACTCAAGGGTAATAACCAAGAAGGAGTAGCTATAGCCAACACCAGGCATGTGAAGACGCAACACCCACAGGGGGGAACATTATCCCTCTCCTTAGTGTGGGACCCACAGAAGACTTCCCTGTCTTTGCCACATAAAAGTCTCAGAACTCAGCCCCATATCTGGCAACCGTCTTCAGGTCCCCTCTCACTGCTGAGAGCTCTTCTTTTGCTTAATAAACCCTACTCTGCATTTCTCACTCTCCAGTGTCCCTGTGCCTTATTATTCTTGGTCGAGGGACAAGAACTTGAACTTAGCTGAACTAAGGAGTAAGGAGACTGCAACATTATCTATTATGGTGATCTGTGGTTAGTGATCTTTCATGTTACTATTGCAGTTGTTTTGGGGTACTATGAATTATGCCCATATATGAAAGCAAAGTATAATTATAAATGTTGTGTGTGTGTTGACTGTTCCATGGACCAGTCATATTCCTGTCCCTCTCCCTTTCCTCAGGCTTTCTTATTCCCTGAGACACAACAATATTAAAGTTAGGCCAATTAATAACCATACAATGGCCACTAATTATTCAAGTGAAGAGTCACATGTCTCTCAATTCAAATCAAAAGATAGATATGAAAAAACTTCGTGAGAAAGACATGTTAAAAGCCAAAATAGATTGAATGGTAAGCCTCTTGCACCACTTAGCCAAGTTGTATATGCAAAGGAGAAGTTATTAAAGGAAATTAAAAGTGCTGCTCCAGTGAAAACACAAATGATAAGAAAGTGAAGCAGTCTTATTGCTGACATGGAGAAAGTTAAAATCACAACATGCCCTTTAGTTAAAACCTAATCCAAAGTAAGATCCTAACTCTCTAATTCTGTGAAGGCTGAGAGGTAAGGAATCTACAGAAGAAAAGTTCGAAGCTAGCAGAGCTTGGTTCATAACATTTAAGGAGAAAAGCCATATCCATAATATAGAAGTGCAATGTGAAGCCGCAAGTACTGATGTAGAATCTGTAGCAAGTTATCCAGAAGATTTAGCTAAAATCACTGATGAAAGAGGCTAAACAAAATAACAAATTTTCATTGAAGATGAAACAGCCTGATATTGGGAGCTGAGATAGCCGACTAGATGCAGCCAGGAAGTCCATCACCTACCAAGAGACCAGACCATCAAGAAGACTGGCACACTCTGAACAGATATTTGAAAGAAAGGCATTGAGAGTGGACAGAGGCAGGATGCAGACTCTGGGCTGAAGATGGGGGAAGCTGAGAAGGAGTGAGATAAATAGGCCAGGAGTGGCCAATCCTTGCCAGTGACCTCTGAAATCTTGGCTGGAGGAGGCCCCACAACACCCATAGACACTTAAACTGACAGGGAGTGATTTTTGGAGAGGTCACAGGGAAAGGTCTGCAGCCTGTTTAGAGCCCAGAGGATTTGGCACAGGAATGGCTGTCATGGGAGCATGGCCAGGAACACCCATTCCCCAGGGATCATCACGCTCCTCTAGATGGCATTAGACTTTCTTTACTATTGCATCTGAACAGAGCAGGGCTATCTTGCCCATAGTACGCAGGCAGTCTGATATAAATGCCCCCTTGTTTGCCAGACTCTCCTTGGGTCCTTGCCTGGCCAGGCCTACTTCCAGTGTAGCTTTGGATGCCCAAACAGGATGCTTTCTGGCAGCTGCTGCCATAGCTCCTTTGATGGCAGACCATGTCATACCATCAGAGAACTCCAGCAGATGATTCCCCCATCAAGTGCACATACTCACCCACAGCCCCACTAATTGCAGCCTCCCCCCACCGCTTTGCTGGTGTGCACTTGCCTGCAGCCCTCCACTGTTGTATCAGCACATGTGCATCCTGCTGACCCCCCAACCCCATCAGCAACCTGCCCCCGCAGGAACACCAATACCCCACCCACACTGACACATGCATACACCTCACAGTGCTGCTGCTTTTGCCAGTATGCATGCATGGACACCCCCTTCTGCCTCCACTGACACCCTGGCCCACTGCCCCACATGCACTCTGCTGTGCCACTGCTACTACTTGCACCTTGTGTAAGTGCAGACCCCACTGCCACCACATCAGTGCTTTGGCCAGGACCTCCTGTAAGAGTGTTGTAGCCAGCAGATTTGGAACACCTAGGCCCCTCCAGCAGAGCAGCTGCTTAACCTAGAGGGGCCATAGAAAAAAGCAGTGGGCCAGGTATCAGCTCCCCAGGATTAGAGCAGGCAGGCCAGAAGTTCTGAACTGAGCCTTTGACCCCTGAAATCTTTCAGAAATGAAGTGAGTCAGCTGAACCCACATTATACCACACTCAAACCCTTAAGGTCATCAAATAATATAAAATATATTTTTTAAAAAACCATCAAAGTGATAGAAACTTCACAGATTAAAAGAACATCAGCCCACATAAGTGAAAGAATCAATGTAAGAACTCTGGCAACTCAAAAAGCTGGGATGTCGTCTTACCTCCAAACAATTGCACTAGTGCCCCAGCAATGGTTCATAAACAGGGTGAAAAGGCTGAAATGACAGACATATAAATTAGAATCTGGATAGGAATGAAGATCATTAAGATTCAGGAGAAAGTTGAAACACAATCCAGGAAATCTAAGGAATTCAATAAAACAATACAAGGCCTGAGAGACAAAATAGCTATTTTAAGAAAGAACCAACTGAACTAAGGAAGATGAAAAACTCACTACATGAATTATAAAATACAGTCAGAGGTATTAACAGTGAAATAGACTAAGCTGAGGAAAGAATCTCAGAGCTCAAAGACCAGTTATTCAAATTAACTCAGTCCAATAAATATAAAGAAAAAAGAATTACAAATGAAGACGACCTCTGAGAAATATGGGATTATGTAAAGAGACTAAATCTACAATTTATTGACATCCCTGAAAGAGAGAGAAAGAAAGCAAGCAGCTTGGAAAACATAGTTGAGGATATTATTCAAAAAATTTTTCCCGACCTCACTAGAGATCTTCATTCAAATATCAGAAATACAGAGAAGCCCTCTATGATACTATATGAGATGACCATCCCCAAGACATATAGTCATCAGATTCTCCAATGTCAACATGAAAGAACAATTATTAAAGGCAGCAAAAGAGAAGGGGCAGGTCACCTACAAAGGAAACCCCATTAGGCTAAGAGCAGACCTTTCAGCAGAACCCTACAAACCAGAAGAGATTGGGGAGCTATTTTCAGCAATCTTAAACAAAATAAATTCCAAACAAGAATTTCATCTTTGGCAAAACTAAGCTTCAAAAGGGAAGGAGAAATAAATTTCAAAAAAGCAAATGCTAAGGGAATTTATTACTACCAGATCTGCCTTACAAGAGGTCCTTAAGGGAGTGTTGAGCACGGTAACAAAAGACCATTACTGGTCACCACAAAAATAAATTTAATTACATAGAACATTGACACTGTAAGACAATTACAAAATCAAGTCTTCATAACAAACAGCTAACAACAACCTTTTTCTCTAAGGTGTGTACATTATTTAGACACAATGTTATTACACACTTAGAATAAAGTATAGTATAAACACAATTTTATATCACCGAGAAACCAAAAAAATTACTGTGACTCATTTATTTCAATATTTGTTTTATTCCGGTGGTCTGAAAGTGAAAAAGGAATGTCTCTGAAGTATGCCTATACAAAAAATTTTACTTTTGACAAAAATTTTTACATGACCAACTGTAGATTCCAAGAGAAACATTTTATTTTGCTTTTTTAAGTTTTGTTGAAAAATTAACTCACAGAACCCATATTTATTGCAGAAAAGGCATATCTATTGGAGAAAAGGCATAAAAATTATTAATGTATAAAGGGGAGGAATCACAGAGTGACTTACTGTTCCCCCACATGGTGTGTGGAAGCTTATATGCTATCTTGAAGTTACAGAAAGAATAGGAGCTCAGAGCATGACCAAAATCAGGTTATAATGGCAAGACAGGTTATGGGCGAGAGAGAAGAGGAGGCTTGGCTAGTAAAAGTGGTTTTGTCATGAATGTGAAACCTCACAGGTAGTACTTTTAGAGAGAAGAATGATAAATATTTTTATTAGACTTTTAGAGGTATCAGAATCTCAGTGAATCTTTTCCAAATCTGAACAAGGGAAGGCCTGGCTGCATCAATGTAGATTTTCTACATTTGTAAATCTCCCCAACAAAAACCAGCTTTACAGGGCTATCTGTTTGCTGGCTCTTGAACAGTCATCTCAAAATATGTCAATGAAGTATATTTTGAGGAAAAATATTTTTATTTCCTTCACAATCATAGTTAAAATAAGAAAATAAGGTAAAATATCTAGAGCCAAAATATTTTTTAAAATAACACAACATAGCATTTTATTTATCTCTAATCATAGTCTTACAAAGAAGAAAGTTAAAATGGAATATTATGGCATTATATATTAAGGTACATAGCTATTTTATTATAAAATACTATATATATTTGACATATATGAGTGCATTAAAATATCAAATTTTTAAAAATTATAGAAAAGATGAAGATAACTATCAAATATTGAAGGTAAATATATGATTTGGTAATTTAGCTGGAAATTTGATAGAGCTAAGCATTTGGGGAAAAAAGTAGCTTATACCTACACTTCATATAAAATAAATATTTTAGCTTTTGAGTAAGTTCTATTAACTAAATTGTGCCATATGATTCCATATTATAACCTTAGAAATTCCCACGAAGTCCTTCCCTACTTTTGGCCCTTCTGTTCACCATTTTCTCTTTTTGTCCCAATTCAAACAGCACTATCTCATTTATGTTTATTATCTTACAGAAAAGAACCCAGATAATTATTGCCTTTTTTAAGCATTTACTGAAATGACATTAATAAAGCTAGGGCATTATTTTAAAAGGTTATGCTTTGGCATTAAACTGAACTGTGATCTCTGCACACCATAGGAAAACCGCAGTACTGACTGAGTCTTTATAAGTTTATTGTCTTCATGAATCTATATTTTTTCCCAAACTTAACTTTTATTGTTTTTTCTAATGCTGCATCAAAAATTTTATCTATTAAAGAAATTCAGTGTGAAACTGACTCTGCTTCACATTTGCCTTTGTGAACGTAATCTGGGAAAGATAAGAACTACTCATCTTTTATCACTTAAGATGCTTGATCTTTGCCTCCTCATAAATTATCATGTTCACGCCAAAGAGTTTATTGCCCTATTTTAATATGCCAAAAACAAGATAGCTGTAAATTTTCTTTTAAAAAGACATTTTTTCATTCACAATAAATATATTTGTCATAAAGTGATAAAATTCATGCTAGTATAAACCTCTGGGATAACAACTTTTCTCCTGATAATAAATGCTGGCTGAGCTTTGTTGTGTGACTATTTATGAAAAGGATATTGGCAAAAGATCTGAGCAGTCACCTCACCAAAGAAGATATATGGATAGCAAATAAGCATATTAAAAGATGCTCCACATCTAGTCATTAAGGAATTGCATGTTGAAATAAAAAATATCATTACACATCTATTAGAATGGCAAAAATCTAAAATATTGATACCATCAAATTCTGACAAAGATGAAAAGCAACAGGAACTCTCAGTCATTGCTTGTGGGAATGCAAAATAATACAGCCTCTTTATAAGTGAAAATTTCCACTTTAGAAGTTGGAATTTTTCTGAAAACTAAACATACTCATATCACCTGATCCAGCAATATTATATCTTGATATTCATCCAAATGAGTTGAAAATGTGTATAGACAGAAAACCTGCACACAGATATTTACAGCAGCTTTATTCATAATTATCAAAACTTGGAAGGAATCAAGACAAGATGTCCTTTAGTAGGTGAAAGAATAAATAAACTGGTATACCCAGGCAATTAAACATTTTTTTCAGTGCTAAAATGAAATGAACTTTCAGCAATGGAAAAGGCATAGAGGAAACTTGAATGCATATTATTAATTATAGGTGAAAACAAGCCAATCTAAAAGGGTTACATATTGTTTAATTTCAACTATAAAACATTCTGGAAAAACTAAAACTATGGAGAGAGTAAAAAGATCAGTGGCTGTCAGCATTAGTGGGGAGGGAGGGATGAGAACACAGAAGATTTTTTAGGACAGTGAAACAATTCTGCATGCCACTGTAATAGTGGATACATGCCATTATACATTTGTCAAAACAAAAAGAAGGTACAATAGCAAGACATATCCCTAATGTAAACTATAGACTTGGGTGATAATGACATACATGTAGGCTCAATGATTAGAACAAATGTACCACTCTTGTATGGGATGTTGATAGTGGAAGAGGCTGTGTGGTGATGGGGACAGACAGTAGATAGAAACTCTCCTGTCACATTGGCCGTGAACATAAAACTGCTCCAAATAATATCTATTTTTGAAAAGTACATTAAGTGGGATAATAGAAAATATCATCTAAAGAAATGTTATCAAACCAAAGGAAAAGTCCGTATTTATCCATAACTTATGAAAGATAAAAAAAGACTGTGGTTGCTTGACTTACATGTTAAAAATAAATATGGATATTTTATAGCCAACCTTTAAGTGCTATAGTCTTAAGAGCAATTATTCACTTCTTCCAGAGATTACTGAAGATGAAATGAGCACACATCCCTCGACCTTTGGCCAAACCTTGGTCAGAGACCTTTGGCATTGGAGTTGGCAGAGTGATATAGAGAGAAAAAAAGTTTAATGTATCTAACAGTTCTCTACTTTATTAGCGATTGAAAATTTTTTTAATTTGGAGAAACTGATGCCTTGGAAAAACAATCATTAGGTTTTCTAGGTATACAAAAACAAAGCAAACAGAAATGGAAATATTTCAGAACACTGCATGGTTATATAAATTACTGCTTTAGTGATGAAGAAAACAAAACCAAAATTATCACCAATACCACACAAAAGCACATGCATGCATGTATTCAGGCACATGAACACATGAACACACACAAGTATGAGGCACACAGTATGAAGACCGGCAAGTCTTATTTCAATAAATTAGAGTACACTTGAGATAGATGGATCAAAACTGAAGAGCAAGGAGGTTAATAGAGTCGACACTTCAGCATTGGTTCTTCATCCAATTTTTTTACTTCTGAAGAATCAAGGTCTGGAAGCCCAGTGACATCTTGTGAGAAGCTAGTAATAAGAAGGTGCCTGGGTGATAATATGTTCCTGTAGTAAGGGAAGTGACTAGCTTGCCTGGCTCTTTATATACTCTAGTTCTTTAATGACACCCAGAAGGCTGTATGAACATTTGGATTGTAATTTTTGAATGGCCTTTACTTTCTCATGATGGTGACTTTTGAAAGTCTGTAGTGGTTACAAGTTTCTTGAAGAAGACTCAGGAACAGGGGATATTAACATGTGACAGCCAGAAAGAGAAAAAAAAATACTGGACTGGTTATTAAAAACGACTAAAATGATTGGTTTCTGGGGATTATACACACACACACACACACACACACACACACACAAATAAAACTTGTAGGGAAACTGAGATTAGGGGCTGTGGTTAGGAGGAGGTAAGCAAACTATTTGCAATTTGGGCATTCTTGTTATTCGTGTTCTTTTAAAAAGATTTTGTTTTTTTAAAGTCCAAGCTGATAAATTTGTCAACATAAGTTGAATTTATATTCACTTGGTTAAAAAAGAAAAAATACCAGTGCTAAATTTCTATGACTAAGTAGAGGTGTTTTGTGGCTTTTTTGTGTTAGAGTTTGCGTATTTCTAGTCATATATAAACTTGAGGATTAGACTTAAAAATAAATTTGCAAGGACTGTCTGATGGAAAAATAACTATGAATTAAGATATTTTTATTTAATATTATTCCTTTTCAATATTTTGTAAAGGGCTATAAAATAGTAAATTTAGGGTTTTACCTTAGGGAGTGTTGGGAAAGTAGAATTCATCATTACTCACTTAAAGAAGACTACATACTTCGGTTGGTTACTGGATTTCAATGGATACACTTAAAGAACATCTTTTTTTAAATTAATAAAAACTGTTTCACATTGTTCTGGCATATTTTATGTAGTCAACATAAAAAGGTAGAAAATTGAAACAAACACTCAGGTAAGTAAAGCATGCCTCTTGACTCTCTTCTGAAATGACAATAAAATTTCCAATACTATTGAAATGTTTCATTTTTCTCCTGTCAATTGGAGTGATTTGCATCCAGTTTATTCACATAGAAACTTCCATTATCTTTACATTTTTGACATATATAAATACTTTTTTTATTTTTTGTTAAGTTTATAATTTTAACTTTATAATTTAAGTTGGATTATGACAATTAATGTAGCTAAATGCCCTCCCTAGAAATATCTTACAAACATATGTATTTACCCAATATAGGTTTCTTTTAAAATTTTTATATAAATTTATCTACATTTCTCTCCAAATTTAAAATGCCACAGGACATGGAAACGGGAAACAACAAAAAATCTGAGGCAAAAATATCCAGCCAGTAGTCAAATGGTGTTACATTTCAAAAATCTACCAATTGCTTTTGGGTACTGCATCTTTCATCTAATGATGAATGTGGTTGTTCTTAAGCCAATTCAATTAAATCCAAATTTTAAAACTAAAAATTAAATTCACTGCATAAAACTGCTTTGAGACTCCAAGGACTTGATCTTTGGCATGACATATGGTTTTCAGATATTTAAACTGCTTATATTTTTATTTGTTCATATTTAACATGAATGATAATACTGACCCATTTCAAACTAAAATTCTGAGGGATAGTACACAAACTCAAAACTTTTGAGATTTTATTAGATGTTCTAATAGATGTTTAGATCATTTTAATAAACTCATGTCTTCCATTATTGTTAAATATTTTATCATCTTATGTTTTGAATGTTTTGATAGAGAAACTATATTAAAACCATAATAAATGTGTGGTAAAATTATAACTATAAATTTCAAAACAAAATGCTACTTCAATGTCATGCTTATCTATGAGTATAATAAACTTTCAATTATTTAGCTCTATCATTCTAGGAAATCATAAGCTAGTGTCAACAACTACATTTACAAGATTTTATTTAATCCTCAGAAATATAAAATAATATGGTAATTTATTACCATTTCATATATGAAGAAATCAAGCTTCTTTAAAGCAATAATGATGGATGATACATTAGACATCTTCTAATTCTACCCTATATAGTAGCATCTAATAGTTGGTCATTGTGGAAATCTGCAATATTTTAAAAACGTTTACTGTCTTTCCTATGGGAAGAATATCCATCCTCTCATCTTCAGCTTTATCCTTTCTCACACACATTGATCTCAAGCTTTACCAGTGAATTCCTTTGGCCAGTGAATTCTGATTGGTAATACCATGTGTCACTTCAAAACAGGAGCTTTCAGAGTTTTTTTTTTTTTTTTTTTTTTGTATTGGAAAAGCAATGCCCCAGAAGGAGGTTTCTCCATTTGCCAGGTCAAAGAATAAAAATAATATGGAACAGAATGGCAGTTCATCCATGATAGGTATATTGCTCAATCAGCATGCTACTCAAGGGACTGCTAGGTGAGGTACAAGGAGGGGAACACATATTTTCTGTTGCAAGCAACACAGATGTGTAGTGACTATTTGTTACTACAATATGAGTTAGTCTAAGATGAAGTACAATCATAAAGATTCTGATTGGATGCTATTAACAGTTGTTGGGGGGAACTCTTACCTCATGAGAAATATCATGATATTTTCAATAATTCTAAAGGATATTCTACTTTGTTAACTGATATTCTCCACTTTCTAATTTCCATACCTTTAGCCAACTTCCTTATTTGAAAGTTTTAAACAGTAATATCATCTATATGACTACACTTTAAATATTTGATTACAACTTATTTAAGGTTTATCATATATCATATTGTTTACAGATATGTCAGATTTTGCTAATTCTCATAGTGAGAATCAAAATTATCTATATAGCTTGTTATCTATATTAATAGACCAGTACATTGTTTTTATTTTAAAAAAAACTTCACTCTTTCAAGATAATCTTAACTAGGAAGATAAAAGGTTGCAAATATAACTTTATTGTTAATTCTAGTAACTTCATGAGACTTTACTCTTTAACATAAACCATTAAAATGACAGTTTACTTTAACAGATGCTTTAATTCTCTCACCTCAAAATTCTCACCTTATTCTGCCATCAGTCCTAAATTACTAAATAATTATTACCACCTAATTCTGATCAATCCCCCTATATTTGAACCACCTTAAATCAGACTTCAAAATCTCAGTACATATCCCAACATTGCCCTTTCTTCTCTGAGATGATCCTTACACAGTATTACAGAACAATAACCTATTCATCAACAGATTGTTTGGGTGATGTCTTGGGAGTCCAGCGTTTGGCAATAAGATAGATAAAATACTTTCGAAAGTGTCTCTCTATCTGTTTGGGCCTCTATATTTTGCTCACTCTGTCCCTCTACTATTAAGAGACAAGCAGACGAGTTTAAAAATATTTTAATATTATAGTTAAACTGTGAAATGTTATTGCGATTTTAATCCACAAATAGTATATAAAAGAGAAAATAAAATCACATGTAAGTTATTACTTTTAAGTTCTTTCTTTGCCAATACTGAAAACATTATCTTAGCCTCTTTTATTCTTAATAATATGTTAGGAGACTCTAGAGAGGAGTAAATGAACAAAGTCAGATTACCAGAGAAGAAAGGAATAAAGAGCAAAAGAAATATAAAGAAACTACAATGTTAAAAAAAAAGATTACATATTTTAAATATCAAACAGTGGAAAATGAGGCTAAATGGGGGTATTAGGTGTGCAAAATTTATCTTCACTAAGACATCAATGTTTGGAAGACTGTGATTAGGATCAATTTTTTTTATAACTTATTTGGTCTTCTTTCTGCACCTGCATCCATCCACTAGTTAACAAGGAGAATAACAATGTTGGGTCATGCAGTCCTTTAACATAATAATTTAATAATGGTTCTTTTCTCAAACAGTCTCTCATTGGGATAAAAGTCCTTAATTATTTGGATACTTTTCCCTTCACCTGCTAAGTTAGTCTCCCCTTGGTACTTTGCTGCTGACCCTTTCTGATTCTCTTTATCAAGAGCTACAATCTCTATGCTACAAAAGAATCATAGGCAGCTCAGAGAGTTAAACTTCACAGCCTTCCTTTGCCTTATCATGCTGTGCTATAAAATTGCTGTTAACCAAACTGCAGACTTCTCTTTGTTGCAAAGGGAGGGATCTCTTTTCAGGTCCTAAATGGACAGCAGGGCCAATGACTCTTCTTTTTGCCCCCAAAAGTTATTTTATTTATCTAACGCATCATCCTCTTTTCCAAAAAGTGAGAAATCAGGACTCACATAGAATACTTGTCTGTCTTCCTTTCCCCCAATACCTTCAAGCTGGCAAACCAAATGACTTTGCTTCCACTCCTTTATTATTTTTGTTTAGCTGATACAGGTGAATACTGATACCTCTACTGCCACAGGAAACCTGAATTACTGGAGTCCTCTAAAGTACATTTATTGATATGGTAAAGGAGAACGAAGAATTTGGAAAACCCATTCTTAATAGCCAGACTTTCAAAGCTATTGTTTCGTGCACAATCCAATTTGAATGTAAAAAAAAAATTGCTTCATTTTGCATTCTATCTGTAACACATTTTAGTATTCCTTTAAGTAGAGAAACTAGGGTAAGCCAGGGTAATGGCCAGTACTCATGAAAGCAAAACGGCAAGACAATATAATTTTAAAATCAATCACTTCTGTTAAAAGCTTATTTAAAAGCTCGCCATATCTACCATGGAAAATTTATTCTTTTTACTTAATTTACTTTACTATTACACTTCATATATTTCTTAGTTTTTAAAATTAAAAATATTAGATATTTTAAAAGAGTAACACAAGCTTCATAACGAAATGCATTACTTCTCTCTTTTAACCTAACCAAATCCAGAAACACTTTTCTAAGAAGTAAATACTATTTTCTGTTTTTAAATAATTAAGGTAAATGCGTAAATTATGAGTTCACTTGGGTGTGTTTTGACTAAGGAACACACCTCTTAAGCCCACTCCTCAGAGAACATTTTCACCAACCTCAGAAAATTTCCTTACGTTCCTTTAGGGTCAATTTTCCGCACTCCAGAGGCAAACAGTGCTCTGATTTCTATCATGCCATGTTACTTCTGCCTCTTTTCTTAAAATTTATGAATGATTACCTAAACTATGTATCAGGCCTCTGAGCCCAAGCTAAGCCATCATATCCCCTGTGACCTGCACATACACATCCAGATGGCCGGTTCCTGCCTTAACTGATGACATTCCACCGCAAAAGAAATGAAAATGGCCTGTTCCTGCCTTAACTGATGACATTATCTTGCGAAATTCCTTCTCCTGCCTCACCCTGGCTCAAAAGCTCCCCTACTGAGCACCTTGTGACCCCCACTCCTGCCCACCAAAGAAAAATCCCCCTTTGACTGTAATTTTCCTTTACCTACCCAAATCTTATAAAACGGCCCCACCCCTATCTCCCTTTGCTGACTCTTTTCAGACTCAGCCCCCCTGCACCCAGGTGAAATAAACAGCTTTATTGCTCACACAAATCCTGTTTGGTGGTCTCTTCACACAGACGCGCATAAAATTTGGTGCCGTGACTCAGATCGGGGGACCTCCCTTGGGAGATCAATCCCCTGTCCTCCTGCTCTTTGCTCCATGAAAAAGATCCACCTACGACCTCAGGTCCTCAGACCCACCAGCCCAAGGAACATCTCACCAATTTTAAATCAGGTAAGTGGCCTCCTCTTACTCTCTTCTCCAACCTCTCTCACTATCCCTCAACCACTTTCTCCTTCAATCTTGGCGTCACCCTTCAATCTCTCCCTTCTCTTAATTTCAATTCCTTTCATTTTCTGGTAGAGACAAAGGAGACACGTTTTATCTGTGGATTATCCATGGACCCAAAACTCCGGTGTCCATCAAGGACTTGGGAAGGCAGACTTCCCTTGGTGTTTAATCATTGCAGGGATGCTTTTCTGATTATTCACCCACGTTTCAGAGGTGTCTGACCACGCAGGGATGTCTGCCTTGGTCCTTCACCCTTAGCGCCAAGTCCCGCTTTTCTGGCAGAGGGCCAAGAACTCCAACCCCTTCACTCCGTGTCTCTACCCCTTCTCTGCTTTTCTGGGTGGCAAGAACCCCTGATCCCTTATTTCCATGCCCCAACCCCTGATCTCTGCACCCTGATCCCTTATTTTCATGCCCTGACCTCTTATTTCTGCACCCCAACCCCTTATTTCCATACCCCGACCCCTTTCCCACTTTTCTGGAGGGTAAGAACCCCTGAACCCTTCCCTTCATGTCTCTACTCTCCCTTTTCTTTAAACTTGCCTCCTTCATTATGGGCAACCTTCCACCCTCCATTCCTCCTTCTTCTCCCTTAGCCTGTGTTCATAAGAACTTAAAACCTCTTCAACTCTCGCCTGACCTAAAATCTAAGCATCTTATTTTCTTCTGCAACACCGCTTAGCCCCAATACAAATTTGACAATGGCTCTAAATAGCCAGAAAATGGCACTTTCATGTTTTCCATCCTACAAGATCTAAATAATTCTTGTTGTAAAATGGGCAAATGGTCTGAGGAGCCTGACATCCAGGCATTCTTTTACATATCAGTCCCTCCCTAGTCTCTGTTCCCAATGCAACTCATCCCAAATCTTCCTTCTTTCCTTCCTGCCTGTCCCCTCAGTCCCAACCCCAAGCATCGCTGAGTCTTTCTAATCTTCCTTTTCTACAGACCCATCTGACCTCTCTCCTCCTAGCCAGGCCAGGCTAGGTCCCAATTCTTCCTCAGCCTCCACTCCTCCACCCTATAATCCTTTTATCACCTCCCCTCCTCACACCTGGTCTGGCTTACAGTTTCTTTCCCCGACTAGCCCTCCCCCACCTGCCCAGCAATTTCCTCTTAAAAAGGTGGCTGGAGCTAAAGGCATAGTCAAGGTTAATGCTCCTTTTTCTTTATCTGACCTCTCCCAAATCAGTTAGTGTTTAGGCTCTTTTTCATCAAATATAAAAAACCCAGCCCATTTCATGGCCCCTTAGCAGCAACCCTGAGATGCTTTACAGCCCTAGACCCTGAAAGGTCAAAAGGCCGTCTTACTCTCAATATACATTTTATTTTATTACCCAATCTGCTCCCGACATTAAATAAAGCTCCAAACATTAAATTCCGGCCCTCAAACCCCAAAACAGGACTTAATTAACCTTGCCTTCAAGGTGTACAATAATAGAGTAGAGGAAGCCAAGTAGCAACATATTTCTGAGTTGCAATTCTTTGCCTCCACTGTGAGACAAACCCCAGCCAGCCACATCTCCAGCACACAAGAACTCCCAAATGCCTAAACTGCAGTGGCCAGGCGTTCCTCCAGGCCCGCCTCCCCCAGGAGCTTGCTACAAGTGCCAGAAATCTGGCCACCAGACCAAGGAATGCCCGCAGCCCAGGATTCCTCCTAAGCTGCTTCCCATCTGTGCAGGACCCCACTGAAAATCGGACTGTTCAACTTACCTGGCAACCACTCCCAGAGCCCCTGGAACTCTGGCCCAAGGCTCTCTGACTCCTTCCCAGATCTTCTCGGCTTAGCAGCTGAAGACTGACACTGCCCGATAGCCTCGGAAGCCTACAGGACCATCACAGATGCTCTAGGTAACTCTCACAGTGCAGGGTAAGTCCATCCCCTTCTTAGTCAACATGGAGGCTACCCACTCCACATTACCTTCTTTTCAAAGGCCTGCTTCCCTTGCCTCCATAACTGTTGTGGGTATTGACAGCCAGGCTTCTAAACCTCTTAAAACTCCCCAACTCTGGTGCCAACTTAGACAATACTCTTTTAAGCACTCCTTTTAATTATCCCCACCTGCCCAGTTCCCTTATTAGGCTGAGACACTTTAACTAAATTATCTGCTTCCCTGACTATTCCTGGACTACAGCTGCATCTCATTGCTGCCCTTCTTCCCAATCCAAAGCCTCCTTTGCATCCTCCTCTTGTATCCCCCCACCTTAACCCACAAGTATAAGACACCTCTACTCCTTCCTTGGCGACAAATCACGCACCCCTTACCATCTCATTAAAACCTAATCACCCTTAACCCACTCAATGCCAATATCCCACCCCACAGCATGCTTTGAAAAGATTAAAGCCTGTTATCACTCGTCTGCTACAGCATGGCCTTTTAAAGCCTATAAACTCTCCTTACAATTCCCCCATTTTAACTGTCTAGAACCAGACAAGCCTTACAGGTTTGTTCAAGATCTGCACCTTATCAACAAAATTGTTTTGCCTATCCACCCCATGATGCCAAACCCATATACTCTCCTATCCTCAATACCTCCCTCCACAACCCATTATTCTGTTCTAGATCTCAAACATGCTTTCTTTACTATTCCTTTGCACCCTTCACCCCAGCCTCTCTTGGCTTTCACTTAGACTGACCCTGACACCCATCAGGCTCAGCAAATTACCTGGGCTGTACTGCCGCAAGGCTTCACAGACAGCCCCCATTACTTCAGTCAAGCCCAGATTTCTTCCTCATCTGTTACCTATCTCGGCATAATTCTCATAAAAACACACGTGCTCTCCCTGTGGATCATGTCCAGCTGATCTCTCAAACCCCCAACACCTACAAAACAACAACTCCTTTCCTTCCTAGGCATGGTTAGATACTTTCGACTTTAGATACCTGGTTTTGCCATCCTAACAAAACCATTATATAAACTCACAAAAAGAAACCTAGCTGACCCCATAGATCCTAAATCTTTTCCCCACTCCTCTTTCCGTTCCTTGAAGACAGCTTTAGAGACTGCCCCGACCCTAGCTCTCCCTGACTCATCTCAACCCTTTTCATTACACACAGCTGAAGTGCAGGGCTGTGCAGTCAGAATTCTTACAAAAGGACCAGGATCGCGTCCTGTAGCCTTTTTGTCCAAACAACTTGACCTTACTGTTTTAGGCTGGCCATCATGTCTCCATGCAGTGGCTGCTGCCACCCTAATTCTTTAGAGGCCCTTAAAATCACAAACTATGCTCAATTCACTCTCTACAGTTCTCATAACTTCCAAAATCTATTTTCTTCCTCACACCTGACACATATACTTTCTGCTTCCCGGCTCCTTCAGCTGTACTCACTCTTTGTTAAGTCTCCCACAATTACCATTGTTCCTGGCCCAGACTTCAATCTGGCCTCCCACGTTATTCCTGATACCACACCTGACCCCTATGACTGTATCTCTCTGATCCACCTGACATTCACCCCATTTCCCCATATTTTCTTCTTTCCTGTTCCTCACCCTGATCACACTTAGTTTATTGATGGCAGTTCCACCAGGCCTAATCACCACACACCAGCAAAGGCAGGCCATGCTATAGTACAAGCCACTAGTCCACCTCTTAAAACCTCTCATTTCCTTTCCATCGTGGAAATCTATCCTCGAGGAAATAACTTCTCAGTGTTCCATCTGCTATTCTACTACTTCTCAGGGATTATTCAGGCCTCCTCCCTTCCCTATACATCAAGCTCAAAGACTTGCCCCCACCCAGGACTGGCAAATTAGCTTTACTCAACATGCCCTGAGTCAGATAACTAAAATTCCTCTTAGTCTAGGTAGACACTTTCACTGGATAGGTAGAGGCCTTTCCTACAAGGTCTGAGAATGCCACCGCAGTCATTTCTTCCCTTCTGTCAGATATAATTCCTCAGTTGAGCCTTCCCACCTCTATACAGTCTGATAACAGATCAGCCTTTATTAGTCAAATCAGCCAAACAGTTTTTTAGGCTCTTAGTATTCAGTGAAATCTTTATATCCCTTACATTCCTCAGTCTTCAGGAAAAGTAGAACGGACTAAAGATCTTTTAAAAACACACCTCACCAAGTTCAGCTGCCAACTTAAAA
Organism: Homo sapiens; assembly: GCF_000001405.40. NCBI lineage: Eukaryota > Metazoa > Chordata > Mammalia > Primates > Hominidae > Homo > Homo sapiens. Next base: position 194,131,841 of record NC_000002.12, on the reverse strand, counting down.
AGGACTAGACAATACTTTTACTGCTTTCCCTTCTCAGAATTCAGGCCTGTCCTTGGAATGCTATAGGGTACAGACCATTTGAGCTCCTGTATGGATGCTCCTTTTTATTAGGCCCCAGTCTCATTCCAGACACCAGACCAACTTGGACTGTGCCCCAAAAAACTTGTCATCCCTACTATCTTCTGTCTAGTCATACTCCTATTCACCGTTCTCAACTACTCAAACATGCCCTGTTCTTGTTTACACTGCCAGTTTACACTGTTTCTCCAAGCCATCACAGCTGATATCTCCTGGTGCTGTCCCCAAACTGCCACTCTTAACTCTTAAAGTAAATAAATAATCTTTGCTGGCAGGACTATGCTGAACCTCCTTAGGCACTCCCTAATTAAATATCCTAGGTCCTCCCAATTCTCAGACCTTTAATACCTGTTTTTCTCCTTCTCTTATTCCATTTTTCAATTCATACAAAACCGTATCCAGGCCATCACCAATCATTCTGAATGACAAATGTTTCTTCTAACAGTCCCACAATATCACCCCTTACCACAAAATCTTCCTTCAGCTTAATCTCTCCCACTCTAGGCTCCCACGCTGCCCCTAATCCTGCTCGAAACAGCCCTGAGAAATATCGCCCATTATCTCTCCAAACCATCCCCCCAAATTTTTGCCGTCCCAACACTTTACCACTATTTCATTTTATTTTTCTTATTAATATAAGAAGACAGGAATGTCAGGACTCTGAGCCCAAGCTAAGCCATCATATCCCCTGTGACCTGCACATACACATCCTGATGGCCGGTTCCTGCCTTAACTGATGACATTCCACCACAAAAGTAATGAAAATGGCCTGTTCCTGCCTTAACCGATGACATTATCTTGTGAAATTCCTTCTCCTGGCTCATCCTGGCTCAAAAGCTCCCCTACTGAGCACGTTGTGACCCCCACTCCTGCCCGCCAAAGAAAAACCCCCCTTTGACTGTAATTTTCCTTTACCTACCCAAATCTTATAAAACAGCCCCACCCCTATCTCCCTTCACTGACTCTCTTTTTGGACTCAGCCTGCCTGCACCCAGGTGAAATAAACAGCTTTATTGCTCACACAAATCCTGTTTGGTGGTCTCTTCACACGGACGCGCATAAAACTATGTACCATTTATGTCTGATTCCTTTCACTTACATAATGCTTTTGAGTTTAATCCAGATCGCCGCATGTGTTAGCATTTCATTACTTTGTAAAGCTGTGGATTGTTGTAAATACCATCAACTCTTCCTGTCCATGAGTTTGGCATCCTTGGATTTAAGCAACCAAGAGTAAAAAAATATTTGGGAAAAAAAAGTGTCTGTATTGAACATGTACAGATTTTTTTCTTGTCATTATTCCCAAGGCAATATAAGAAGTATTTACATAAAATTTACATTGAATTAGATATCATAAGTAATCTAGAGATGATTTTCAATCTATGGGGGCAGAGCCAAGAATGGGAGACAAGTGGAGGTCTAAGCATCACGACGGCTCCCCCTCTTTTCTCTCCCCACCTTTACCGGCCTGCTCGGCCCACAGACCACCTTTCCACCATGACCGCTTCAGCAAGTTCCTGCTTTAACAAAAGCATCAAGCAGGTGTACATGTCTCTGCCTCAGGGTGAGAAGGTTCAGGCCATGTGTATCTGGATAATTGTGACTGCAGAATGACTGTGCTGCAAGACCCATACCCTGGACAGTGAGCCGAAGTGTATGGAAGAGTTGCCTGAGTGGAATTTTGATAGCTCTGGTACTTTACAGTCTGAAAGCTCCAACAGTAACATGTGTATGGTGCCTGCTGTCGTGTTTTGGGACCCCTTCCACAAGGACTCTAACAAGCTGGTGTTCTGTGAAGTTTTCAAGTACAATCGAAAGCCTGCAGAGACCAATTTGAGGCACATCTGTAAATGGATAATGGACATGGTGAGCAACCAGCATCTCTGCTTTGGCATAGAGCAGAAATATACACTCATGGGGACAGATGGGCAGCCCTTCGGTTGGCCTTCCAATTGCTTTTTTGGGCCACGGGGTCCATATCACGGTGCTGTGGGAGCAGACAAAGCCTATAAGAGGAATGTCTTGGAGGCTGATTACCAAGCCTGCTTGTATGCTGGAATTAAGATCGTAGGGACTAATGTTGAGGTGATGCCTGCCCAGTGGGAATTCCAAATTGGATCCTGTGAAGGAATCAGCATGGAAGATCATCTCCCGTTTCATCTTGCATCATGTATGTGAAGACTTTGGAGTGATAGCAGCAACCTTTCATCCCAAGCCCATTCCTGGGACCTGGAATGATGCAGGCTGCCACACTAACTTCAGCACCAAGGCCATGTGGGAGGAGAAAGGTGTGAAGTACATTGAGGAGGCCATCGAGAAAATAAGCAAGCGGCACCAATACCACATCCGTGCCTATGATTCCAAGAGGGGCCTGGAAAATGTCTGGTTCCTAACTGAATTCCATGAAACTGATGGCAGAAGTGACCCATCTGGAGCAGATGCTGCCATAATGCCAGCTGCAGTTGGGGAAGCACCACCTGGGCTCTGTGCTCCATGGAGCAGGTGGGAGCCAAAAACAGGTGGGATCCCTGCCCGCTCCTGAGTTGGAGGGATAGAAGCTCCACTCTTCCAGGTGAAGCTGTAGCCTCCCAGCCACAGCTGAGGACCCAGGCATCCCTGTGCTCTCGGGAACCTGGGAAGCCTCCCCTTCCCCCAGACTGCTTCTGCTACCTGGCCTCTCCTGGCTCCTGGTGCCCACTCCGATTTTGGAGCAAAGTTGATGCTGAGCCCAGGCACAGTTGCGACCTGACGGTGTGTGCACACTTGGGACAGTGCTGACATACCAGGCTCCTGCAGCCTTGGACCCCTCTGGACTATGGGCACCTGTGAGCACAGAAGGGAGGCCAATGGGGGTGAGGGAAGCTCCACTTGAGTGTGCAGGCACCCCTCAGCACAAACAGCCTGGACACCATGGTTGCCTTGCTTGGCAGGTTGATGGTGGTAGGAGGCAGACAGGCTCCTGGAGGGAAAGGGTTGGTTCCCTGGTGAAGCCCCACCTTCAAGCCAGAGAAGGCCTGAAGCATTGGGGCCAGGCTGCTAGTTCTGCAGACCAGAATGAGAACTTATGGTGTTTTTCAGCTGCCCAAGGCCACCCATGGAACCAATCAGCATGCACTTTCTCCACTCTGAAGCCCATAAAAACCCTGGACACAGCTAGACTCAGGCAAACAACACAATGACCTGAGGGCAGATAGAAGCTACTTATCCTGTGTCTCCTTTGGTTGTATCTTTTATACTTGCACCAGCAATGAATTATAGTTCCAGTAGCTCCACATTTTCATCAACATTTGGTAGCATCAGTTTTTTACTTTAGTCATCCTTGTGAGTTTGTGGTGATAGATCAACTATGTATGACATTATAATTTTAAAGTTGTATTTTTCTATTTATGAATAATGCTGAAAACATTGTCATATGCATTGCCCATTATTACATCTTCTTCTATATAGTATTTATTTTTATTGTTTTTTATTATTGGATTATAGGAGTTATTTTATGTTCTGAATGAGAGTTGTCTGATTTTATACACACACCCCCACATACACAGACACACACATATTACTTCTGCCTCTGTTCTTAAAATTTATTAGTAAAAATCTCAACTATGTACTACTTGTGTCTGATTCCTTTCACGCATACAATAACTTTGAGATTAATCCATGTTGCGCGATGTGTTAACATTTCATTCCTTTGTAATGCTGTGTATTGCTATAAGTACTATTGACCCTCCATATCTCCCTCTTTCTGTGTGTGAGTGTGTGGTGGGGGGGTGATTATATATTCCCTGTCTGAGATTTACCAATTTGCTTTTTTATTGATGTCTTTGGAGGACCAAAAGTGATTTTTTAAAATGAAATTTATCAGTTTTTATTTTTAAGTAGGCTTGCATTAGTTTCCTATTGCTGCTATAACCAATTACCATAAATTTTGTAGCTTAAAGTAACAGTAATTTATTATTTTACATTTCTGGAAGTTAGAATAATGAAAATATGTTTGCTGGACTGCTCTCCTTCTGGAGGCTCTGTTAAAAAATCCATTGTATTTCCTTTTCCAATGTGAAAAGGTTGTCTGCATTCTGTGACTCATGTCTCTTCCTTGAATTATTCTAACCTTTCTTCCTTTGTCACATCTACTCTGAGTCTGCCCCTCTTCTATCCCGCATATAAGAACCCTTTTGGTTATATTGGTTCCAGCCTGATAATCCGGCATAATCTTCCCATCTCAATATTCTTAATCACATCTGTAAAGTCTTCTTTCCATGTAAAGTAACATGCTCATAGTTTCAAGGAATTAGGGCATATATGTCTTCGTGGGACATTATTTTGTCTATCACATTACTTATTTGGTCCTAAGAAGTATTTGCTTTTCCCAGGATTACAATTATAGTTTCCTGTGTTTATGCTAGAAGTTATATGGTTATAACTATTAACACTTGGTCTATTTTCCAACTCAAATTATAATGGTGTAAGGGATTGAAATTCATTATTGATTCATAGTTTTACCCAGTATTTCCAGCAACATTTGTTAGAAAATGTTTCCTCTTCTCATTAAGCTGTTTTGATACTTTTATCTAAATTTTTTTTATCATGTGTGCAAATCTACTTCTGACTCTCCAATTGATTACATAAATAGAAATACCTGTTGACCAATGGTGTGCCTTCTTTTGAGAGATGTCTGTGCAGATCATGTGCTCACTTTTGAATCAGATTTTTTTTTTGGGGAGTCGCTATTGAGTTGTTTGAGGTCCTTATATATCCTGGTTATTGATTTCTTGTCAGACAATTTGCAAATATTTTCTCATCTTCTGGAGGACGTTTCTTCACTCTGTTGATTGTTTCCTTTGCTGTGCAGAAGTTTGATTAGCTTAGTATAATCTCATTTGTCTACTTTCACTTTTGTTGCCTGTGCTTTTGAGGTCTTACCACAAAAATCTTTGCTCAGAACAATTGATGTCCTGAAGTGTTTTCTTAATGATTTCTTCCAGTAGTTTCATAGTTTGTGGTCTTACATTTAAGTCTTTAATGTATCCATTTGATTTTTGTGCATAGGGAAAGATAAAAGTCTAGTTTAATTGCTCTCCATAAGGAGATCTAGTTTTCCCAACACCATTAAGGAGACTGTCCCTTCCCCGATATATATTATTGCTGACTTTGTCAAAAATGAGTTCGCTGTAAATGTGCAGATCTATTTCTAAGTTCTCTATTCTGTTTCTTTGGTCTATGTATCTATTTTCATGTCAGTACCATATCGTTTTGGCTACTATACCTTTGTAGTTACAGTTGAATCTTGAACAACACAGGGAGTTAGAAGTGCCAATTCCCACACACTTGAAAATTATTATATTTTTGACTTCCCAAAAACTTAACTAGGAATAGCCTACTATTGACCAGAAGCCTTATAAATAACATAAATAATGTATTAGCATATATGTTATATATTATATATTGCATTTTTACAATAAGTTATTAAGAATCACAAGGAAGAGAAAATATAGTTACTATTCCTTAAGTGGATCATCATAAAAGTATTCTTGTTGTATTTACATTGAGTAAGGAGAGAAGGAAGAAAAATATGAGCAGTTGGTCTTGCTGTCTTATAGGTGACAGCAACAGAAGAAAATTCAGATATAAGTGGACCTGAACAGTTGTTAAAGGATCAACTGTACTTTGAAATCAGGTTGCATGATGCCCCAGCTTTGTTCTTTTTGCTCTGTATTGATTTGGCTATTCAGGGTCTTTCATGGCTCTGTACAAATTTTAGGATTGCTTTTTTCTATTTCTGTGAAGAATGTCATTGATATTTTGATAAAGATTGTGTCGAACCTGTAGATTGCATTGGGTTAAGAATGGACATTTTAACAAAATTAATTATTCCAATCCATGAACATGAGATATCTTTCCATGTTTCATGTCCTCTTCACTTTCTTTCATCAGTGTTTATAGTTTTTATTGTCGAAGGCTTTTACTTCTTTGATTACATTTATTCCAACATCTTTTAAATTTTTTGTAACTAGTATAAATGATATTGTTCCTTTATTCCCCTTTCAGATTATTCACTGATAGTCTATGGAAGTAGCAGTAATATTTGTATGTTGATTTTGTATCCTGCAAGTTTAGTGACTTAGTTTTTCTGTTCTGACACCTTTTTGGTCAAGGTTTTAAGTTTTTCTAAATGTAATATAATATCCACACACTGGGGCTTATCGTAGGGTGAAGGGTGGGTGGAGGGAGAAGATCAGGAAAAATAACTAATGGGTACTAGGTTTAATACCTGGGTGACAAAATAATCTTTACAACAAACCCCCATGACACAAGTTTACCTATATAACAAACCTGAACATGTACCCTGAACTTAAAATAAATGTTAAATAAAAAAAGATGTCATCTGCAAACAACATCAATTTGACTTATTTCCAATTTAAATGCCTTTAATTTTTTTTCTGTCTTTCCCGATTTCTCTTTATAGGGCTTTTGATACAATGTTAAATAACAGTAGTGAAAATGGGCATCATTGTCTTCTTCTAGGTAGTAGAGGAAATACTTTATTTTTTTCTCTATTTAGTATGGTACTGGCTGAGGGTTTGCCCTATATGGACTTGTTATGAGGTATGTTCCTTCTATACCTAGTTTGTTGAGAGTTTTTGTCCTGAAGAGATGTTGAATTTTATAGAATGCTTTTTCAGCATGTACTGATATGGTCATATGGTTTTTTGTCTTTCATTTTGTTAATGTGATGTATCATGTTTATTTATTTGCTTATATTGAATCATCCTTGCCTCCCTGGGATAAATCATACTCGACTGTCATGTATTATCTTCTTGATGTGCTGTTGAATTTTGTTTGCTAGTATTTTCTTTTTTGAAGATTTCTGCATTTATTTTCACCAAAAATATTGGCCTGGAGTTTTCTTTTTTAATTATATTGTTGTCTGGGTTTTGTATAATGATAATGCTGGTCTTATATAATAAGTTTAGAAGTTTTCCTTTCCTTTCTTTTGTTTTGAAATTGTTTTAGTAGAACTGTTATTAATTCTTAAGTTTCAGCAGTGAAGCTATCAGGTCCCAGGCTTTTCACTGGTGAGAGACTTATTATTGCTTTCATCTTGTTTCCCATTATTGGGCCTGTTTAGACTTTCTCTTTCTTCTTGGTTCAGTCTTGGTAGGTTGTGTGTGTTCAGGAATTTATTCCTTTCTTCCGGGTTTTCTTATTTGTTGATGTATAGTTGCGTATAGTATTCTCCAATGATTCTTTGTATTTCTGTAGTACTGCATGTAATGTCTCCTTTTTCATCTGTGATTTTGTTTATTTGGGCCTTCTCTCTTTTTTCTTAGACTAGCTAAAGGTTTGTCAATTTTATTTATCTTTCCAAAAAACTAACTTTTGATTTTGTTGATCTTTTATTTTTTAGTCTCTACTTTCTATATTTCTGGTCTGATCTTTATTATTTTTTTCCTCCCACTAATTTGGGTTTCTTTTTGTGGATCTCTAGTTTTTTGAGGTTCATTGTTGGGTAGTTTATTTGAAGTCTTTCTACTTTTTTGATGTAAGCATTTATTGCTATCATCTGTCCTGTTTGCATTGCTTTGGGGTATGTGGTATGTTCATTTTTATGTGTTTTGAGAACTTTTCAAATTTCCGTCTTAATTTCTTTATTGACCCATTGATTTTTCAGGAACACCTTGTTTGATTTCCATGTGTTTTCATAGTTTACGAAGTTGATTTCATTACTAAATTGTACTTTTATTTCATTGTGGTAATAAAAGATATTTACTATGATTTTGATTTTTTGAAATTTGTTGAAACTTGTTTTGTAAATTAATATATCATCTATCTTGGAGAATGTTCCATATGCTGATGAGAAGAATCTATATTCTATAGCAATTAAATAAAGAATTTTGTAAATGTCTGTTAGATCCATTGGGTCTAGAGTGCAGTTAAACTCCATTATTTATTTGTTGATTTTCTGTCTGATGATTTGTCCTTTGATGAAAGTGGAGTATTTAAGTCCTCTACTATTATTTTATTGCATTTTATCTCTCCCTTCGGATCTATTAATATTTGTTTTATATATGTGTGTATGTATGTATGTATACATATTTACGACAATTGTTATGTCTTCTTGCTGAATTGACCCCTTTATCACTATATAATAAACTTTTTTGCTTCTTTTTACAGATTTGACTTGGTCTGTTTTATTTTGTTGTTGTTGTTGTTGTTTGTTTTTTGTTTTGTTTTGTTTTGTTTTTAGATGGAACCTCACTCTGTCACGCAGGCTGGAGTGCAGCGGCACGATCTCGGCTCACTGCAGCCTCTACCTCCCAGGTTCAAGCGATTTTCCTGCCTCGGCCTCCCGAGTAGCTATGACTACAGGCATGTGCCACCATGCCCGGCTAATTTTTGTTGTTGTTATGGTTGTATTTTTAGTAGAGATGGGGTTTCACCATGTTAGCCAGGATGGTCTCAATCTCCTGACCTCGAGATCTGCCCGCCTCGGCCTCCCAAAGTGCTGGGATTTCAGGTGTGAGCCACCGTGCCCGGCCTGAAGTCTGTTTTATGTGATATATGCGTTGCTCATTTTGATCTTTTTTGGTTTCTACGTGCATGGATATCTTTTTCCAGCCTATTTTTAGTCTATGTATATCTTTATAGGAGAGGTGTTTCTTGTAGGAAACTCTGAATGGATGAAAAACAAGAAAAGACCTATATACTTGGGGTCTTGTTTTTAATCCATTAAGACATAATTTCTTCTTTTGGAGAACTTAGTCATCTTACACTCAATTATTAATAGGTAAGGATGAACTAGCATCTTGTTACTTTTTAAATGGTTGTTTTGTAACTACTCTCTTTCTTTTTTATTTCATTACATGTCTTCCTTTGTAGTTATGTAATTTTCTCTGGTAGTATGTTTTAAATCCTCTTTTTATTTTTAGTGTATCTGTTTTAGCTTTTTGGTTACCATGAGGCTTAGAAAAAAAATCTTAATATTATAGCAAGTTATTTTAACCTTATGACAATTTAACTTTGATCATAAAAAGAAAAGAAACAAAGAGAAAAGTAAAAAACCCTATGCTTTAACTTTTTCCGCTCTTAATTTTCACTTTTTGCTGTCTCAATTTATACCTTTTTGTATATCCTATCTCATAACAAATTGTTGTCATTATGATTTTTGTTAGTTTTTATTATTCATATTAAATATATAAGTGGTTTGTATACCATAAATACACTATTAAAGTATTCTGAATTTGTCTGTACTTACTTTTACTAGTGAGTTTCATACCTTCAGATATTTTCTAGTTGCAAATTATCATTCTTTTGTTTCACAGTAAATAACTCCTTTTTGTATTACTTGTAAGAAAAGTCTAGTGGTGATGAATTCCCTCAGCTTTTTTTGTTTTTTTTTTGTTTGTTTGTTTGTTTGTTTGGAAAGTATCTGTACATCATGTTTTAAAGATAGCTTTGCTGAGCACAATATTCTAGGGTGGCAATTTTTTTTTTCTTCTTCAGCACTTTGAATATGTTATCTCTGCTCCCTTATGGCTTGTATAGTTTTCATGGAGAAGTCTGTTGCCAAATGAATTGAGTCTCCTTTATATTTTATTTACTTCCTTTCTCTTGCTGCTTTTAGGATCTTTTGTTTGTCCTTAACCTTTGAGAGTCTGGTTATTTTATGCCTTGAAATAGTCTTACTTTAAATGAATTTCTTTGATGATCTTTAACCTTCTGTACCTGGATATTTAGATCTTTTTCTGTATTTGGAATGTTTTCTGTTATTGTTTGTTTGAATAACTTTTTTACTCCTTGATTTTTTTCAACTCTCTCTTGAAAGTCAGTAGCATATATTTGTTTTTCTGAGGTTATACTCTAGATATTGCAAGCATTCTTTGTTCATTTTCATTCTTTTTCTTTTTTCTTCCACAACTGTATATTTTTAAATAATCAGCCTTCAAACTCACAGATTCTTTTCTTCTGCTGTTGCGAGCCATCCCTCCAATGCACTTTTCAGTATGGCTATTGCATTTCTCAACTCCAGGGTGTATGTTTGATTAATTTTATTTTTTAATCTCTTTGTTAAATTTCTCTGAGAAATTTCTAAATTGATTTATTGTGTTATCTTGAAATTTGCTGAGTTTTCTCAAAATGCTATTTTGAATTATTGTTCTGAGAGCTCTCACATTACCATTTCATCGGGGTCACTCACTGGCTTTTGTTTTGTCCATTTGGGGAGGTCATACTTCCCTGTTTTTTTCTTTTTGTTGCTAGATGACATCCTTAGTGCAGATTTGCCACAGCCCTAAATTAAGTTTGGAACGTTGTTGTCCCAGATGGTTTGGGGGAATTCCAAAGGGAATATTCCAGCTGTGTGGAAAGGCTGGCCAAGGCTTTGTGCCCAGAGGACCCATGAAGCACAGCTCCTGCAGTGTGCTGCGGAACAGCCACTCTGATTTGGTATTCCCTTTACTTGAGATGAAAAGCAGCTCACCAAGTTTTACACACTGGCTGATTCTAGCCTCACTTCCACTATTCGTCTCTAGCTGCCCTCAGAAGTTTTCATCTACATACACTTGCAATGCTTCCCATGTGGTAAGTCAAAGATGGTTCTCAAGTGAAGCAACCCAAGATGATAGGAAACCTGACTTTCCACCTTGATCTTACTTTTTCCAGTGTAGAAATCATGAATCTGGGGGAACTTTCCTCCACTGGACCTGGCAGAGTTGGGGAGGGTTGTTCTGATTAGAGAGGTCCATTTCTCTTTCCTTTTGCTAGTGGTTTCTCACTTCTTTGTGGCCCCTCAGATTTTCCCAGTGTCAAATTATAATTCTGTGATATTTCTGGTTATAATCTTGTTACTGTTTTGGTTTTCTGTTAGGGAGACTGATGCCAGATTGTTCCTACTCCATCATTTTGGTGACATCCTAAGCACACTTTTAATATCATTTTATGTTGCAGGATCCCATCTAGAATACCATATTGCATTTAGTTGTCATGTCTGCTTCAGCTCCTTTTTGCTGGAACAGTTTGTCAGACTTCTCTTGTTTATAATGATGTTGACAGTTTTGAAATATATTGGACAGGCATTTTGTAAAATCACCCTAATTGGAATGTGCCAATGTTCTTCTCCTGTTTTGGCCAGAGTATGAGTTTTGAGAAGGAACACCACACCACATAGGTTAGGTACCATTTTCATCCTGTAATTTCAAGAGTACATACCACCAACATAATTAGCAGTGTGGATGTTGGGATGTTGACCATGATTGTCTGACTAAGGTAGTTCAGTCATATTTCTCAACCGAAAAGTTATCTATTTGCTCCGCTTTACACATTTCACACTTTAGAAAGAAGGCATTATGTGCAGCTCATGCTGAAGATGTGAGGGTTATGCTCTGCCTCCTTGGGGACTAAGGGCCTCATGAATTGCTCAGATTTCTTCCATAAGGAAGATCTATATCTTCCTCTATTGACTGATTTTTTAAACATATTGAAGCAACCTTGTGTTAGTGGGATAAATAATATTTAATGATATTGTCAGGACTCTGAAAAGAATGCTCCAAATTGTAGTGCTTTGTTATGTTGAGTGATTTTAACTAAGGAAGAACCAAACCCCCTCCCTTGCTCCCAACACACAACTCTCTCTTTCCTTTGTAAATAAGGGACATTCATCCAGAAGGAATAAAATTGTCCTAGGCCACCTCCCTATAATTTCATCAAACAGAGAAGATTAATTTACAGGATAGAATACTAGAGTTAACACCACACCTAGGCCCCAGAGGAACTTAATCCCAGGCTATTCTCTGTTCTTTTCTCATTCATCTCCCTTAAAAATAATTTACTCTTCTGAGAAAATTGCCTACATCCCTCATTTCCCTCTCCCCTATGAATAGGGTATTTAAGCTTCAACCATCTGGCCCTTCTTTCAGTTTTATACGTTGCATGACTCCTGTGCACTTGAACATTAATACATTTTGTATGCCCTCTCTCCTGTTAATTTGTCTCTTGCCAGTTTATTTCTGCATACTTAATTATCAATCCTTTGAAGAGAAAGCTAAAACTTGTGCAATATACTATTGATTTAATTTTGCTATGATTCTCTTAAGAAATTTTGAAACACTGTTAATAAAAAATGTTGTTCTTTTTCTTTCCTTGTAATGTTGTGTACAGTCATGATATTATGGTTATACTGGCCTCTTACTGAAAAGAATTTTCACAAGGCTTATATTATTTCATCTTTGAATGTTTGATAAAATTCACCAATGAAGTCATCTAAGACTAGAATGTTCTTTGAGAAAAAATTTGAATTGCAATTTTTTTCTTTTCTTTTTTTAGAAATAGGGTCTCACTCTTACCCTGTCTGGAGCGCAGTAGTGTAGTCACAGCTCATTGCAGCCTCAAACTCCTGAATTCAAGCACTCCTCCTGCCTCCGCCTTCTGAGTAGCTAGGACTCCTGGGCTCAAGTGATCCTCCTGACTAGCTAGAACCCAGCTAATTTTGGTAATTGTTTTATAGAGATAGGTTCTCACTGTGTTGACCTGGTCTCAAACTCCTGGCCTCAAGTGACCCTCCTGCCTCAATCTCGCAAAGTCCTGAGATTATAGGCATGAACCATTGCACCTGTCCCACAAATTTAATTTTTTAACATATATAAAGTATTTGGAAGTTTTCAAGGATTTTGTGCTTATTTCTAAGTAGTTAAATGTATTGGTCTGAAATATATAAAAACTTCCCAGTTGAACAGATCCTCTCTGGTACCATACAAAGATCTACTCTTCCTAGTGTTTTTGCTTTTGTAAAATCCCCTCCTTTTGATTGTGGGATCTATGTAGTAACTGTCTTCTAAAAAGTGATGCATACCTATGTGTCCTTTATTTTATGTTCAATGAATGTGTCATAATAGTTTAACTTCAAACTCTAAATTTTATCAAATTTTAAAGTACTTTTTGAATACAACTACCTTGAACTAGAACATTAAATTGCAAAGAATTGAGAGAATCAAAATTTTAGGTTAAAAATAAAAGTATATATTTATATATAAGATTTCATTCAGTTTTATAAACTGGCATTTTTAAATATAATTTTTTTCTTGGGTTTGGTAGTAAATTCATTTGCAAAGAACAGATGTGTGACTTCTGCAGCATTCTCAAGTTAGCATTAATGAAAACCACTGTCAAATAACAAAATACTTTCCTTATGTGATTAAATGAATGCTCATGCTTTCTTTGATTACTTTAACATATTTACTTATTTTATACATTCTAAGTTCTACTCTGCTTTCTAAAGTATTAAGTCAAGTAAGCAATCTCGACTGTTATCTATAGAGCTAAATGATTATTACTGAGCAAAATTTATTATATATTATTTATATACAAATATGTCAGTTAATTTTAAAATTTATTATTTAAAACATTTGATTCATATAAAATTACAGATTTAAGATACATAAGTTATAAAGTTCATAATGAACAAGTATCTAAAAACTAGCCTAATAGAATACTACCTATGTCTTTCAATTTTACAGTTAAATGCTACTTTGCCACTACCGTAATACTTTGCTTTCAAAATGTTTATGGCTTTATTATAAGGAATTTCACACTTAATTTTTGAAATTTTAAAATGTGTATAAATTACATTATATTGTTTGGATTTTTCTGTGCCTTTCTTTTGTGGTACAATATATATATTGTGGAATTCATTTATGTCACTCCATATAGTTGTGGTTTTTAAATTTCACATATGCAGAGTATTTTATTATATGATTATCCTATAATAAGATATTATATTCAATTAGGGAATTTCTATGATTTTTACTCTTATAGTCAATGCTGCTATGAATGTAGGTAAAATTATTCATTGAGTTCGTGTGAGAGTTTTCTAAGGTAAATATCTAGGAATGAGATTCAACCTTCTATAACAAATCTTGTTATTTTACATCCTCATCAAAACTCAAAATTATGACATTCAAAATTTTGACCAATTGGTTAAGATTAAATAATATTTTCTCATTTTTTCATTTTTTACTTCAATGATACTAATATGGTTGACCTTTTTGTTGTTGTTGTTTATATTTATTGTCCAACCTTTCTTCTTTCTCAGAAATTCTTGGACATGCATTTGATCATTATAATCATGGACTTCTATATTTTTAAATTAATTTTAGGAGTTCTTTAAAAATTCAGGATATTAACCAATAATCGACTTTATTTTTATTCTATACTTTTGTGTCCAGGTTATGGATTGTCTGCTCATTTTCTTTTGGGAATTTTTGATAAACTGGCATTTTGAATTTAGTTTGTGTCAAATTTATTTATTTTTAAATTATTGATTTATGTGTTTTGTATCTTGTTTAAAATACTCTGTCATTCTGAAGCTTTGCTGTTAATATTCAAGCCTTCATTTCAACAAGAAAATATTTTTGTGTAGTGTGTGAAATAGTGACTAAATGCTATTTTTAAATATTATGAAAATAAAAATATTTATAAATTTATTAACACTCCTAATATGGTTTGGCTCTGTGTCTCCACCAAAAATCTCATCTTGAATTATAATCCCCATGTGTCAAAGGAGGGACCTGTAATCCCCACGTCTTTAGAGAGGGGGGTGGTTGGACATGGGGGTGGTTTTCCCCATGCTGTTCTCATGACAGTGAGTTCTCATGAGATCTGATGATTTTATAAGTGTCTGGCATTCCCCTGTTTGCACTTCTGTCTCCTGCTGCCTTGTGAAGACACCTGCTTCCCCTTCTGCCATGATTGTAAGTTGCCTGAGGCTTCCCCAGCCATGCGTAACTGTGAGTCAGTTAAACCTTTTTCCTTTATAAATCGGCCAGTCTCAGGTATTTCTTTATAGCAGTGTAAAAACTCATTTATCCAGAGTTCTATCTCCATTTTTTATATGTCAAATTTGCATATCTCTATTTGTCTGCATTTTGTTCTCTATTCTGTTTCATTTTTCTATTCATGAATAATTACACATCTTTTATATAGGAATTAAGTGAAAGAGAAAGTACCTTCTTGTATTTTTAATGAGCATGGTCCTTATTCTTGCTGCTTGTTTTCCCTTTTATAATTATTTTATCAGTTTCCATAAAAAGCAATGTTGGAAGTTTATTACAATTACTATGTAGATGATTGATAGATAGATAGATAGATCAACTTAGAAAAATTTATTCTTTATGGTGGAATTTTTAATCTATAGGCATAATACAGCTCTTTATTAGGTTTCCCTATTTTTATTTAAATTTTCTTCATATAGGTACATTTCTATAGTAGATATAAAGTTCTTTATGTTGTCTGTTTTTGGGTTAGTCTTGATCATAGTTTTTCAAGGATCTTGCTCATTTTATTGAAGGACTTATCTAAAGTTTTACATAATGTTGCCTCTTTATAATTTTTGAGGTATACATTACATCAAGTAATGCTCTTTTTATTATTGTAGTTAACATTTTTGACAGAACAGTGAAGTCACATAATTACCACCCAAATCAAGATGTATTACAGCTGTATCCCTTTTAGAATGTCCCTTCATTACATGCTGTAGTCAACTACTTTTACTCCAGGATCTGGCAATTATCTATTTGTTTTCCGTCCATATGTTATTACCTATCTCAAAATCATATATGTGTGTATCTAGCCATTTGAATTTACTACCACTTAATAATTGCTCTGAGATTAATTTACATTGTTGTGTGTATCTGGATTTCATTGTTATCTATTGCTGAATAGTATATCATTGTAAGAATGTCATAACTTATTCATAAGATAAACATCATTGTGCTATTTTGATATAATAAGAAATATATATTTCATCTTTGTTCTGGTTTCCTGGCACAAAGCTTCCAAAACCTTTGTAGTTTTCTTAGAAATGAAAGTGAGAGAATCATCTTTCGTTACTCATCATAAGCTCTTTTCAATCATATCTCATTTTACGCTAATAAAATGACTCTTGGTGGTACCTTGATAGCTTCAGAATGGAGGCTGTTTGCCAGGAGAACAGACCGTGGGATTACAGGATTGAAACTTTCAGCCCCACCCCTGGACTTGTGGCCAGAGAAGAGGACTGAATATTGAGTTATTCACTAATGACCTGTTATTGAATCAATTATTCTTATGTAATGAGAGCTTCATTAAAAAAAAACCCTAAATGAAGGGATTTAGAAAGCATCTGAGTTGGTGAACATATTTAGGAGCTGAAGTGTCCAAAGAGAGCATGGAATCTCTGTGCACCCCTTTCCCTTATACCCTACTCTATGCATCTCTTTCATCTGGCTGTTCTTGTGTTGTATTCTTTTTTTAATTAAAAAATACAGTAAACATAAGCAAGTTGTTTTCTTTTTTTTTTTTTTTTCTGAGTTCAGTGAGCCATACTAGAAAATTATGGAACCAGAGGTGGGGCTAATGGAAACTTTAGATTTGTAGCTAGTCAGAAGTACTGGAAACCTGGGTACTGTGATTAACATCTGAAGTGGGGACAGTGTAGTGGGACTGAGTCCGTAACTTGTGGAATATGAGACAAACTCCAAGTAGTGTCCAAATTAAAGTTAATTATAAAACACCCAGCTAATATTAGATAACTGTTTGGTATGGAAAACACACACACACATACACATTTGGTGCCAGAAGTGGTCTTACAAAAACAGGTCAGTTTTTTATACACCCAGGTTTGGAGATAATAAAGAAATTTAACATAAGTGAACACAGAATTTGTGTACACATAACATTTAAATTTCTTTTAAGTAAGTACATAGAAATGACATTGCTGGATTTTATGAAAAGTGTATGTTTAATTTTACAAAACATGTCCAAAATGTCTTATGTTTTTCTGCTTCTTTGTGTATCTAATACTTTTTTATTGAAAGCTGGACATTGGAATTTTTGTAGTTTTAGTCGCTGAATTTTGCTGTGTTTCTTTAAAGAGTTTTTTTTCTTTTCTGGCATGTATATAAGTTATTTTAAATTCCTCAACAGTTTAATTTCATCCTCATAGGCCACAATTATACTTTTAAAGTATAAGTCAGAACATGTTGCTCCTTTACTCAAAATTTCCAATGGTACCTCAATGTCTTTAAAATAGCCAAAAAGGACAAATTTAATCTGACCCCCAAATTAGTCTTAGTGCATAAAGTCCTAGTACACATAGGAAGAGGTCAAAATAGCAACATCACCAGAGTTTGGAAGAGGTCGATTCTAGCCTTTATGGATGACTTTGAGAGGGTTCAAGACTTTAGTGGAAGAAGGGACTGCAGATGGGGTAGAAATAGCAAGAGAACTGTAATTAGAAGTGAAGCCTGAAGATGTAACTGAATTTCTACAATCTCAGGAGAAAACCTGAATGAATAAGGAATAGCTTCTTTCAGATGAGCAAATAAAGTGGTTTCTTCAAGTGAAATCTACTCTGAGTGAAGATGCTGTGAACATTCTTGAAATAATAACAAAACATTTAGAATAGTTCATAAACTTAGCTAATAAAGCAATAGCAGGGTTTGACAAGATTGACTACGATTTTGAAAGGAACACTACTGTGGGTATAATGCTACCAAAAAGCATCACATCCTATAGAGAAAGCTTTAATGAAAGAAAAAATCAATTGGTGTGGCAAACTTCATTATCGTCTTATTTTAAGAAATTCCCACAGCCATCTCTGGCTTCTGCAACCACCACCCTGATTAGTCAGCAGCCATCAACACAGAGGCAAAATCCTCCACCAACAAAAAGATTACAACCCGATGAAGGCTCAGATGATCATTAGCATTTTTTTTAGCAATAACAGATTTTTTAATTAAGATGTATACTTATTTTAGACATAATGCAATTGCATACTTAATAAGCTACAGTACAGTATGTATGACTGTAAGTTATATATGTGTATATACATTTTATATGTACTAGTAAACTAAAACGTGTGACTTGCTTTATTGTGGTGCTTGTTTTATTGTGGTGGTCTGGAACTGAACTGCCTGTAAATGCTAAATCTGATGTATTGTGGTATGAACATTTGCAAAACTTAAATATTTTTCAAAAAGTGATTCATGCGTCCCAAATGTACTAAAGAGTTAATCAAAATAATGGCAAAATGCTCAAAAAATAATTGATGTAACAAATAAAATAAACAATAAAATGCCCATTTATACAAAATACTAATTAGTTGACAACTACTGTTACCTATTATAAGAAATAACTAAAATTTTTATTAGAGAAAATTCTGTGATTTGATTCCACTAAGTTAAGCAAGCTCTCAATTACTGTAACCTGCTTTTGAACAATATTCACTGCCAGACACATGACAAAAAAGCTGTTTTTAAAGGTCTTGTAGAAGAGCTGTTGTGCTTTTAAAACCTTATTTATGCAGAATATTTGCTGTGCACAGCTCATTTCTTTAATCTTGTTGAAAAAAATGCACAGCTCCTTAAGTTGTTGACTACTTTGGTATTTTGAAATAATTATGTGTTATTTTCAGTTCAGTGATAGATGGAGAATTTTAAACACACTTGAAGTTGATTTTTTAATGAGTAAATGTAATGATATAGTTTGCATGTTATAAAGCTCTCCAAATCTTACAATATGCATGAAGCAACATTTTAAAGGCTCTAAGCTATATTTTTAAAGATTGGATGAGAAACTTAAATTTAAATGAAATGCAAAACAGTCAAGACTCTGAGTTCAAAAAATTTTAAGAACAATTTGGCAAGACATTTAGCCTATTTCAATAAAATGAAAGACATTGAAGAATTCTGACTTGTATTTATATGAATGGTAGCCTACTCATTCACTTTTACATTTATTTATTAAAGAACTAACTGACAAAAAATAAGTAAAATGTAATGGAAAATATGAAATGAAGTGATAAAATTAACAATAACCTAAATAGGAATTACTTTGACTTTTGGAAGTTAATTATAATAAAGTAACTTTTATATCATACCAAAAGCAAACATTTGCTAAAGGCAAGACATGTATTTTCATAAGAAATTGTATCATATGTGAGCATTAGAAAGTATTTGTTTCTTAGTGATTTGATCCAAGATACTAACCTCCATGAGCATAATATAAAATCATAGTAGTTCATCCTGTAATGAAAATTCAAGAACAAACTTAATTTAAGGATTAAAGACAGTTGCCAATGCCAAAAGCATTTAAGTTACTATGCCAAAAGTTTTGAAATGCACAGTGTTGTTCATACATATATGAAAAATAACAATAAAGGTTTTCTAAAATTTTACCACAATCTTAACAAGTTGCTTAAGATTTACAGTAATGAGTTTTAAAGTTAAAAAAAAACTTTTCTAAAGTATGAATAATAATTATTTACAAACAAATTTCAATTGCACTAGAAGAAATATGTATTATTTTCTAGCCTCTGTTTTAAAAATAATATTATAAAATTGTTGGCATATGCAGATACATTCAAAGTATATGTAGCCAAAAGTGTAGAAAGAAAAGGCAAAAAGCATGTTGTTATTGATGATGTTAAATTGCATTGTCTGTGATTATAAAAG
The DNA here is from genome assembly GCF_000001405.40 of Homo sapiens. Lineage (NCBI taxonomy): Eukaryota > Metazoa > Chordata > Mammalia > Primates > Hominidae > Homo > Homo sapiens. Next base: position 194,112,282 of record NC_000002.12, on the reverse strand, counting down.
CAAAGTTGACCTATTTCAGTTTTGAATCCAACGCTATGGTTTCTTTTAGTACTCCTTAGCGTGTTTTTAAAAACAAAGTATTCCCTAATTAAAACAAAATGCATAGAGCTGGTAAAATATCTATGTTTTTGTCTTAAACCTTATATATTTTAGAATAAGAGGAAAATAGGTTAAAAAAAGCTTAGAAAGGCACTAGAGAAGTAAAAGGGTTTAATGAATAAAAAACACTTTGCTTTGCCTATAAAACAGTATGTCTGTGATTGAACACCTGAAACAAAAGGAAATCTAAAAACGTAACATAAAAACAAAATGTAAATCATTAATTCCTTTCTAAAACAAATTATTAAAAGTAAATATAATTTCTAATATAATACTTTTATTTTTGTGAACTTTTACAATGTGTGTCCCCCATACCCAAATTCACATGTTGAAACCCAAACCCCCAACATGACTATCTTTGAAGATAAGGTCTTTAAAGAGTTATGTAATTATGTTAAAATGAATGCATAATGGTGGGCCCTAATTTAATGTTACTGGTATCCTCATAAGAAGGGAAAGAGCCATGAGGGATGTGTCCACAGACAAAAGGCCAAGTGAGGACACAGAGAGAAGCTGGCTATGTGTTAGCCAAGGAGAGAGGCCTCAGGAGAAACCAGCCAATACCTTGACAGTGAATCTTCTCCAGAACTTTGAGAAGATAAATATCTGTTGTTTAAGCTACCCAGTTCGTGGTATTTTATATGGCAGCCCTTATAAGCTAATATAATACAATAACAATAAATTTAAAAAATAAACTTTTTTCTGTTTTATGCAATATCTACAATTGTAAGTGAAAATGTGTACTCTTAAATGAATTACTTGAATTTTGAGAATTAGAATTTAGTTTTTACTTATCTTTATGAAAAATGGTCTACTAATTGCAAAGTGCCATAACTATTCCAAAAGTGGCCTGATCACTTATAAAAAATATATTCAGGGTTCTATGGTGATTTTTAGAAGGAATGTATAGTCTATAGGTTTATATGTAAATGAAATAATAAAATCAAGTCATACTTATACCTTCGAAAAAAGCATTTGCATTACATCTAAAAAGACAGATTTATTTGTAGCTCTTTAAAGCCTCAATTTTTAATTATTTCAGCAAGTCATATTTTGGTTACAGTGACTGATTTTTATAAAATGTTAAATAAAACTTTATTTTTAATTGCTTTTTAATTAACTTGCAGAAACAACTCTGTATGCTGAACTTACCTGAGGCACTGATTAAAGTTTTAGTCCGGTAATACTGTAGGCTTGAGGGGAAAATGAGATTAGATGCAGAAAGTATATATTGATGCCTTAAGAATTAACCATGTTGATAATAAGCAATAAATGTCTTTATAACATTTAACATGTATTATTCACTATTCACTATTATACTCACTGCTATACAAGTATAATTCACTATTGTATACTATGTTGATTCATGTTGGCTGGATTTGACTTAAAAACAGACAGGAAATCTCATATTATTTTTTATTATTAAACAGAAAAATTAAGAAGATAGTACAGATAGTTCTTATATATACCCCTGTAATCAGTTTCCTCTATTACTAACATATTATATTAATATGGAGCATTTGTCATGTGATGAAGCAATATTGATATATTATTATTAACTAAAGTTTATATAGTCTATTCATGTTACCTTAGTTTTGTCCTTTTGATGTTCCACAATCCCACCTAGATTAGCACATTATATTTAGTTGTTATGTGATTTTACGTTTCTCTTGGCTGAGTCCATTTCCCAGACTCTCCCTTGTTTATGGTGTATTTGACAGTTTTAAGGAATATTGGTCAGGTTGGAATTTGCCTGATTTTTTTAATGAATAAACTGGAATTATAGGTTTAGGGGAGGAAATGACAGCATTAAAATGTCATTTTTATTACATAATTTCAAGGATACATATTTTCAACAGGATTCAACATTAACATGATTGTTAATGTTAGTCTTGAATATCTGAGTTAAATAGTGTTTCTCAGATTTTTCCAGTTTAAAGTTACTCTTGTTTCTTTCTCCTTTCCCTACTATACTCTTTAGGAGAAGATCACTAGGTATATCCCACACTTAGCAAGTGCAGAGTTGTGCTGGCCTTCTTCAGTGTGAATAAAATTCCATAATTTATTTGGAATTCTTCTGCATGAGAGATTTGCCTTCTCTACCCCATTTATTAATTTTATTGATCATTTATTTATGTATATATGCATTCATTAACATTTATTTAATACTTTGAGTTATAGCCCAACAGTACTAATATTTATGGTATTGCTTAAATTGTCACAGATTTGGCACTGGAAAAACTCATTTAATTGGTTACTATGCCCCCTTCAACATATCTATCCCAGAATGGAATTTTTTTGTTGCTGTTTTTGCACATTTGGTTTATCTTATTATTGTTGTTGTTTTTAAGTACGTCCGTATTTCACAGTGGTATGTTTCAGGTTCATCTAATATATTTCCTGCCACAGTTCTAGAAACATTCGTTTTTCCAAAAAGCCCTGACTCATTGTATTGGAGGTTGGTATTAGAAAGGAAGATATGCATTTCAGGTGCTCTTCTTGCCACTGGGGTGTCATTTTTTAGGGCTCTTCAGCTGACAGAAAAAAGATATATATATATATATATATGTGTGTGTACACACATATATACACACATATATATGCTAGCTTGTATGTGTGTGTATATATATACACATATACATACATGTATATAAAACTATTAGTGTATATAGCCATATGTATCTATATTAAGTTAAACATGAGTTCTTAACATCTGTTCTGACTCTATTGCTACGTAAGTCATTCTAGCCTCCTTACCTTTATGATCTTTGAATTTCCACACCAACAGTGAAATACCGGGGTCTGAAATTCACTATGCGTTTAATTAATTATTCAATTCCAGTATACATATATATAGCAGTGTCAGATTTATCACTAAACCCTGTGGGAAAACCTAAGTACACACTACTTACGTATGGTTCCTTTTGATTTTAGTCTTAACAGACTCTATTCATTTCTAAAGTTACTTAAGTCAGCACACTTTCCCCCTCCCTAAATTCCTTGAGATTATTGTATACATTTTTAATACAGTTAGAATCTCTTATCACGGTCTGCCTTCTTTCCTGTGATCCTCAGATACATTAATTTTTTTAAGTTGCATATTTTAAAGTTCACCCTTTATGTTGTAAAGTTCTATAGGTTTTGATAACTACTTAATGTTCCCCAAAGAAAAAAACAGTTCTAGAAATAGAGGAAACACTTCCTAATTCATTTTATAGGGACAGAGTTACCCTAATACTAAAATCAGATTAAATCATGGTAAGAAAGAAAAAAACAGACCAATATCTCTCATTAACATAGATGCAATTATCCTTAACAAAATATTAGTAAATAGAGTCCAGTAATATATAATGAGAATTACAGAGTAGACCAAATGATATTTGTTCTGGTTATGCAAGTCTGGTTTAACGTTCAAAAACCAATCATCATAAACGTGCTAAAGAAGAAAACATATGATAATATAAACTGATAGAGAAAAATCATGTGATCAAATCCAACACTGATTCATGACAAAACTTTCAGTAAACTGAAAACAGAGGGGAACTTCCTCAATCAATAATAAAAAAAGAAACTTCCAAATACCTGTAGTAAATATAATTAATGATAAAAGAAAAAAGTTGCTTTCCCCCTAAGATCAGAATCAAGGTTGATTTATCCTTTGTTACCATACCTCTTCAACATTGTACTCAAAGTTTTAGCCACCATAAATTAAAAAAAAAAAAGCATATGGAGTGTTTAGACTTGACATAAAATCACAGTCCATAATTTTTAAAATGATAAAGTTCAGTAAGTTTAAAAAAGAATCTATGAAAAGATAATTATATCTGAACATATTGTGATTTTATATCTTAATAATAGAATGACAATTCAATAAAATTGGGCAAAAACTATTGAAAAGACAATCTAGAAGAATGATGTGTGAGCATACAGCAATTAAAACAAACTCACCATTATTAGTCATCTGTGAAACCCAAATTAAAGCCACAATAAGATAATATTATGTACCAACTAGAAGGGCTAAAATTTAAAAGACTGATAACACCAAGTATGGGGTAAGATGTGGAGTAACTGACATTCTCACAAACTGCTGGCAGCAAGTTAAGTGGTAAGACCTCTTTGGAAAATAGTTTGTCAGTTTTCATAAAGTTAAACATACCTTTGAGCAGAATTGATTCACCAGTCCACTCCTAGGCATTGATGCAAAATAAATGAAAACATATAGGTATCTACACTGAGGCTCGTACAGGAAACTTCACAACAGTTTTATTTATAATTGGCTATTTTTCCATTTAACAGGTGAATGAATAAACACATTTTAGTGTAACTGTACAATAAAACTACTCAACATTAAATGGAAGAGCTGCTGATACCTACCACAACATAGATTTCAAAAGATGATAGGTGCAAAACAGTACATACTTTATGATTCCATTTTTATGAAGTTTGAAATGAAGGAAACTAACATATAGTGAAAAAGAAGATCAATGTTTGCCTGGGATCCGAGGAGAGTGGAGCTGTGTGTGCAGGTGGTTAAGGAAACATTTTAGAGTGATAAAAATATTTCATACATTGTGTGTGGTAGCAGTTACACCATTGTATATCTTGTCAAAACCGATAGATATAAAACAGGCTTTTATATCCTATATAAATTATGACTCAATCAAGGTAGTTTTTAAAGAAATTATTATGAGGTTTAGCCATTATGGCTTAAAAAAAGACAGTAAGTTAAAAGCATAACATATTAGCTCAATTTTGGATATGTTGTCTTTTTATCTTCTGGGAGTTTCTGATAGAAGTGTCCTGGTGGGAGTAAGAACTTCTGATCTGTACTTCATAGAAACTGATCATCTGTCATTCATAGATTTGGATAGATTCAAAACGGTGTGTTATCAAACTCATACGAATAGATAAAATTACCTGTGAAGAATGATTTAGTGTGAGGAAATCCTGCTACAACCTGCTAACGCCAATGCAGACATGACTGAGCAACCTAATTCCAAGACAGGGACATCATATACTCAGCAGAAGCACCTCAATGCCATAATATCAAAACACGCACCTAATGTGCACAGCTGACTACCTCCAATCAGCACAGTGTTTAATCAACAGGCAAACACAGGAATCAACAGCTAACCAACAACATTCCAGGTAGTCCCAGGTCTTTCAGCTTTAAAGGATTTATCTGATGTGTCCTCCCCTGAAATGTATGTCAGAGACTAACTCTGAACTTCATCATTCTGTATTCAACCTTTGGCATCTGGAAGTGTATATATATATATACACACACACACATACATATATATACACATATATATGTGTATATACACAACACATATATATGTATATATACACATATATATGTGTATATATACACATATATATGTATATATACACATATATGTATATATACACATATATATGTGTATATATACATATATATATTTAAACAATGAAATGAAGATAGAACTCTGATACTCATTTAAGACGAAAAATCGAGTATAAGTGGCCAATGGAGTCAGAGATACAAAGAAAATGAGAAGCATGGTAAAAATACTTTTCAAGGATGGATGTAGTTCATTATCAAATGTGAAATTCTGGAAAATCTCAGTGGCTACAACACTAAGGTGCTAATTAGTGAAACTGAATTAACCTTGCATCAGATTAAATAGTGAACACCAAGTTGCCAAATTGTGACAATTAGTGTTGGTAATTATTTAAGAATGATAGAGGCCTGTGCGGTGGCTCACGCCTGTAATCCCAGCACTTTGGGAGGCCAAGGCGGGCGGATCATGAAGTCAGGAGATCGAGACCATCCTGGCTAACACGGTGAAACCCCATCTTTACTAAAAATACAAAAAAAAAAAAAAAAAAAAAAAAAAAAAAAAAAAAAAACAGTAGCCGGGCGTGGTGGTGCGTGCCTGTAAACCCAGCTGCTCCTGACGCTAAGGCAGGAGAATCGCTTGGACCCGGGAGGCGGAGGTTGCAGTGAACCCGAGATTGTGCCACTGCACTCCAGCCTGGGTGGCAGAGTGAGACTCCGTCTCAAAAATAAAATAAAAAAAATGATAGAAAGAAAAGGTTGATAACTAGAGAGGCTTGAGAAGGTTGTGTGAAAACAAGTGAAAATATAGCCAGAGAAAAAGGTAAGGACATCATATCAGATACATGATAATACCAATGAAAATTAGAGACAAAAGCAAAATACTAGCTGCTAAATGTACAACTGGCTGCTGGCTATCTAACCAAATTCTGACTGTGATAGGTGTGCCTGACATTTTTGACAGGTAAATATTTTTTATAGGACCTCCAGTTTTCAGTTGAAAAATAGTATCTTACATGAAGTGCATAATTAAAGGGAATATATTAGACTAATATATTTTTAATTTTTTTTTTAGAGACAGGGTCTCACTCTTTCACCCAGGCTGGAAGTGGTATGGTCATAGCTCACTGTAGCCTCAAATTCCTGGGCTCAAGCAATCCTCCTGCCTTGGCCCGCCAAAGCATTGGGATTATGGGCATGAACCACTGTTCCCAGCTCTAGGTTAGTATTATTGGTGCTAGTAGCTAGATAATTCTAAAAGTGAAACTCCTTACCTTTATTTTTAGTGTTTTTAAATATGGATAGAAACAAAAAGTAGGAGGAAATGAAAGAGAAGCAGATAAACCTTTTTTTGTCCTAGCATGTAGACTCCTTTGCATTTCTTGTTTTTCAATGAGAAAATAAAAATTTTTACCTCTTAATCTTAGCTTTGCCCTTTTAGGTTACTTGTCTGTTATCTCATAATTTATCTTTTACTATTAAATATTTATAATTAATGTACCCCAAATAGTTATATTGCCCACGGTCTAAAACAAAACAAAACAAGTTTGCTTCTAACCAAGGTTGTAGTTTTGTAAATCTTAGCTCTAGGAATAAAACTTTTAGAGAGCATATGCCAATTATGTGTATTGTGTAAAGTTTTAACAGTATATAAAGTTGTTTTGTCCTAAAGTCAATGGCATTAATAAGAGATAATTTATTCAGATAACTCTGTGAGAAAATCTCAAAATATTTCCAAGCAAGTCTGACTCAACAAATCAAACATGAGTTTCCTATAGGCTGAAAATCCTACCAGATACAACCTATACTTTTAAAAATGAAGCCTGTTATTTGGCTTCTTTTTGTTGAACTACAGGGAACTACATAGGTTTGTTGTTACATGATGAGAAAGGATTTATTGTGAAACACTTTGAGTGCTGTAAGATAAAATGCTCTATTAGGCTACATATACACAATCCTGCCACTTCCCCTTTTATTAAAGACCATTTTGACAGCCCAGTCAGGACTTTCTGAGGTTTAGAGAAGTGAAAAATGCTCTTCAGTGTGCCTTCACTCACAGAGGGCACAGACATCAGGCACCACATTTGACCAAATACACTCTCAGGATTGCCAGCTATCTACAGCAAAAACTGGTAACTACTTTCTTCAGCTTGCAGAGAGAACTTTTTAGAGTGAAAGTACCAGGTGTAGGCTTTTTCTGTACAAACATATTAAAATTTATATCAATGCATGTCCAGAGATATTTCCTAAATAATCTCTTTCAATTATCATTTATGAAACATGTAATGACCATTTACTATATGCAGGTCATTGTGCTAAGCACTTTATGTACATTATTTTATGTAACTCTTACATCATCCATGTAAGAAATCAACTCCAAATATAGATGAAAATATGCCAGATGAAGCAATCTGTCTTGTGGAGTCATTACTTAGAATTCAGGCCAGGCATACTTCAAAGCAACAAAGCTGTAGCAGCCTCAAGCAAGTGTGATCATGAGAAATTTAGAAATATTTAGTTTTTAATACATTGAGTTAAGAAAATTGATTTTAAAAAGTTCATTATCAGTCTTCAGCTTTTGTTTGGTGTTAGGAAAGCAATATAGAGCAATAGTTGATCCAAAACAGTTCACTTAAAGTGAGTTAGGTCTATATTTAAAAACATCTGTCAAATGTGGGTCCCTGGTTCTGATGTAGCAAACCCGCCCTGCCCTCAGTGGTAAGTGGAATGAAAGCCATTTCTGAGGCGGGGAGGGTGGAAAGGCTATAAATACATGATGCCACAATCACATCCTTCTTGTTCAAATGATGCTATGAGACCCCATTCAAGTCTTTGCATTCTTCTTCAAACAAGCTACTGGATTTAAAGGCCCAAGAAAAGCCTGATCATAAATTCAGAACTGTCCCTCCCAGCACAACTTCAGCCAGCCATCTGCACCCTCAGAGAGGATGCCAAAACTGTCAGTGCCATCTTGAGATCAATATGGTCCTTGTTCCTGGGATGCTACAGGTGGTTAGTGCTACTACCCTCTGCTTGTTCTGCTGCACCCCTGGTAATAAGTCACTGCTTTGGAGCTTGAATATTTGGGTTGTTTAATTTCTATTTTCTTAGCTGAGTGGTTGGTGGGGCGCATAAGAGTTGGGCAAGAACATGCTGCAGTGATTAGGCATGACCCTTTCCATGATCGCATTGGTTCCAGCAGGGAATCTATGGGCCAGTGGCCTATCTCACAGAAACTAAGACCACAGTCTTGAAACCACTGTGAAATTTGTTAAAATCCTAGTTTCCATTTCTGTGCTTATGACCAAGCCCCAAGTGGGGTGAGGTCTTAGAATCTAAGACAACCTCTAGTTGCTAAAGGTCCCACGTTACTTGTCTATAAAGTTGGGAATTGTTCTAAGATAAAGACAATATTGTCTCTTTATCTCACAAGCTTAAGAACACTCTCTTTTTTCTGTAGCCAGCTTAGCACAACCCAGCAAAAATAGGAAGCACTGGATAAATCCTGTTGGATAACTGCAAATTGCTGAACAAATGAGTCGATAACTGTATTTATCATGTCTCTTTGGATTCATTTTTTAATTTTTTCAAAATCCAAATTGATCTTTCACAGAAAATATGTACTCATGAACCATTTCAAAGCATGCAGTATTTCATAAATTCTTTTCTATAAGTTTACTGCTATTATTTTCACTTTGCATTGCCATTTTCTCACTTTATAAATTATTGCGTTGTCCAATACAGTTTCAGAGAGAGAAAAAAGAATTATGTATATGGCTATAATTTATATATAAATTTGATTTAAAATCCATCACCTTTATTTGCTTTAATATTTGAGTAATTGAAATACTCAATATAATCCTCAGACTAGGGAAGAACAGATTTTTCTAAGGGCAAATACTTTGTCAAAATCCACATAAAAAAACACACTCCCAAGAAGTAAGAACCAATGCTAGTAATTTTCAGATGCACAGGTAATTTACACAGTGCTGAGATCTGAGCAAAATTTGCTGAACAAGGGCGGTATTCCTGAATATACTGTCAGTCTATGTAATACATAAGATACAATAGTGTCACATGATGGCTACTTCATGAGAGACCCATGTGAAAGCTTTGCCAAAAGGAGAAATGATTTTGTTATGTAAGTGCATGACCCTGGTAGAAGGAACATGATTTTTAAGCCAGCCATATAGAAACCTTAGAGCGATTAATAAATCCTCTCTAGCCTCATTCTTCCCCTCTCTTTGTTCCAAGTTTTACCTCTTAAACTTGGATTTATTCATTTCTGTCATGGCTACCATATGTAGGAATATTGTTGTCAGGTAATATTATATCAGGCTACAGCTATTAGAATACTGTATGCAGTTAGAATTCTCTTTCAGAACCAGGAATGTATGCAAACTTTTAAAACATCAAGGTCCTTATTGGGATCTGTTTCCCTGTGGCTATTCAGAACATGTTAATTTTTTTTTTTTTTTTTTTTTTTTTTGAGACAGAGTTTCGCTCTGTCGCCCAGGCTGGAGTGCAGTGGTGTGATCTCGGCTCACTGCAAGCTCCGCCTCCTGGGTTCACGCCATTCTCCTGCCTCAGCCTCCAGAGTAGCTGTGTCTACAGGTGCCCACCACCACGCCTGGCTAATTTTCTTGTATTTTTAGTAGAGACGGGGTTTCACCATGTTAGCCAGGATGGTCTTGATCTCCTGACCTCGTGATCCGCGCGCCTCGGCCTCCCAAAGTGAGAACATGTTAATCTTAATGTTATGCTATGAAGTAATTAGATAGGAATTATAGAAAGATAAGAACAAGTTGTGAAATAGCCTCCATGAAAAATGACTAAATATTTGGAAATTTTGTGTTTTGTGAGAAAGTATATATTTGGGAACATTTTGGGTTTCTTTTGTAAAAAATATTTTTATATAAAATAAAAGGCTTTGTATAAAAATATTGTTTAAAATAAAAATATCAGAAATCAACTATTTTCAGAAAAAAAATAGTCATAATAGATATAGATTTCCAAAATGTAGTCTGTAGATAATAATGAAATCTTTAAAAGTGAATGAAAACAGACATTCAGAGGTTTCAGTAAAATCTGTAAGCACTGGGGAAATATAATGAGAAGCAGAGATGAGATTATCTTCTGATTTCTCTCAGAAGTATATTTAGATGCATAAGAGAGGGCATTTAAAAATAAATGTTAGAATTAATCATCATTTGATGGCTTATTTTTGGATAAAACACTAAGATGAGAGGGAGAACATTACACAAATAACATTTTTGAACACTGCTCTCAAGAATTTCACATTCTTGTTGATTTGGGGATAATAATAAAACCACACATAACATATGTTTTAGTTTCAATGATTATTTTTATACAGTTTATAAGACCAAAATAATATTTTCCGTTTTTGTTTTGTCACTATATTTTTTCCTGATTTTAAAAGTAGCTTTTTATGAGTATTGAGGTTGCTCTTTCAGGGTGTTTTTCTTTTATTTTCCTTTTTGTCTATGTACATATATATGTGTGCTTCTAGTTATAATAGAAAGAAACAGAAAATTAGGTCAATCTCTTTTCAGTAAAACTACAAAACTATATAATATAATTATCAGTCAACAAACCATATTACACCCACTTATTTTTTCATGGCTTTATGCATATTGTTGTCAAATTGACAACAACAATAATAAAACAACAAAGAATAGATATAACAGAGAACAGAAACTGAAACAGAGAACCCATGTTTTCCTAGGACTCTCACAGGCCATTCACTAACAATAAGAATGATGAATACGATGACGTGCATATCAATGAATTTTCAAGAACACTTTGTGTTTTGTTCATGCTCATATTTATCCAGTTGATTAAGACAATTTGCATAATTTAGAGGTAATTTCTTTTGGAAAGTCATGATAAAATGCTCTGATTGCAGTATGCCAGGCTCTTTACACATGGAAGTTTTTCCAAGTGAACAGAAAAAAAAGGTGAAGATATTTGTACACCCCAAAAGTAGTTTTCAAAATCTATATATAGTATTCATCTTCTTAAGTGTTTAAAGCATAAAAGCCCACTAACAAAGGTATGATTTAAATAATAGCCTAGTATTTCATGTTGTGTTGCTTCTGAGTATGGTAGGCTGACTGTGAGACAGTCCTCGATTATTTAAACCTTGTGTTTATGCCTTTTGTGTTATCCCCTCCTCAGGAGTGTGGGTTGGATTGGTGTTTAGTAACTAATTTTTAATGAATAAACAATGTCAGAAGTTGTGAGATGTTAATTATCTAATTAGGTTATAAAAAGACTGTGGCTTCTGCCTTGGAGGCTTTCTTCCTCTGTTTCTTGAATTCCTCTCTCTTGGAGAAACAAGCTGCATGTTATGTACAGTCCTTTAAAGAGATCCACTGGGCAAAAACGAAATGTCTACAGACAACAGACAATGAGGACTTAAGGCCTGTCAAATGCCGTGTGAATGAGTGTGGAAATGAATTTTATCCAGCTGAGCTTTCAGATAAGACAATAGCCCCAGCTGACAGCTTGACCATAGTTTCATAAGAGTTCTTAAACCAGAAGCACCCAGCTAATCCATGCCATGTGAGAGTTCCTGACCTACAGAAACTGTAATATAATAAATATTTATTTTTTTCAATTGCTAAATTTGAAGCTAATTTGTTGCAGATCAATAAATAACTAATATTATTTTATTTTATTTTTATTGCCATTTACAATGCTGTGAAGTGGTAAGGCCAGTAGATTACCTGTGAAATCTTCCATGGGTGACTTTGGAGAAGGTTCTTCATACAACCTTAAGAAGTGTACAAATGTCCAGGAACTATGGACTCAGCATAGGCAGATTTCTTACCTTAAAGATACCCAGAAAGACAAATTGCAGAGCAGATTCTGTTTAGATGGAATATGTGCAGGGCCTTGGATTGAATGGTTCTGCTAAAGTTCTCTATTTTTGGAATCCACTAAATGACTTCTATGAATTTTCCTATCACTTTGCACTGGGTTAGATTTTTTTGTATATTTAGTATATTTTTTAATTGATATTCAAACATTTGTGAGTGGTAAATTTCATTCTAAATTCAAATTGTTAAGTACCTAAATGTATCTTGGTATCGATCTATTTGCTTTTAAACTTTTTCATTTACTTTAGAACACTTTAAACTGTAGGAGGAAAAAAAAGAGTAATTTCTTCTCCCATCATAAGGTTCATGACTGACATTCCACAACAAAGACAGATTAACGAGAGCATAAAAATGTATTTAATATAAGTTTTATGTGATATGCATGGGAGACTCCAGAAACGAAGATCCAAAGACCCAGGATAAACTGTACTTTTATGGACAGTCATGCAGAAATATGATTGAAAAATAGATGGGTACGATCCAGTTTAGGATAATAAAATGGAGAAAATGTTGTGAAACCCATTCATTTAGATTCTTCTGGGTGTTCCCTGTGACATTCTTTCCATTAGGGTGCAGGGCAAGATACCTATCATATGAAGGTCTTCAGGAGAAAATGGAGGGGGAAATTCAGACAGAGGCCTTCTTACATTGTGATTTCTAAACTTCCTTCAGCTTAAAGTACTCAGTCTGCCAAGGTGTCATATTTTGTTCTAAATGCCAACAAACTCTTATTACACATTTCAGGTTTGAAAAGACCTCCTGTTAGACTTCCATTACTCTAGTGTTTCATTCTTTTTACTCTATTTGCCTCTTCTCAGGAGAAATAACGTAATAGTCTAGTATGTAATATATTTACAGAGGTATCTTTAAAGTTTCATGAATTAAGGGTTAATAACCAATACCACAGTAATGCATCACTTGTTATATAATATTTGCCTGATTTAGTCACTTAACATTTAATGAGTAACCACTGGATATGTATGCTAGTTATGTATCCAAGTATATAGTATGGATTTCTGGAGTCACAGAACAGTTTTGAAAAATAATTTGCGGGAAATGGTGACCTTTTCTGACATTACTCAAAGCCTATCAACAAAGCCATAGCCAACCACTAGGACTGACAGAAAAACACTCTCATTTTACTGTTTACCAAAAGCTGACAGTAGGTAGACTCAGCCAAAATACTGTCTGATATTGAGCTTTCTTATTTTTTCCAAAATAGCCTGCTCTATAGGGAACATGAAATATTAGTGTAATTTGGCCAGCTATGGTGGCTCACACCTGTAATCCCAGCACTTTGGAAGGCCGAGGTGAGCAGATCACCTGAAGTCAGGAGTCCAAGACCAGCCTGGTCAACGTGGTGAAACCCCGTCTCTACTAAAACTACAAAAATTAGCCAGGCGTGGTGGCAGGTGCATGTAATCCCAGCTACTCAGGAAGTTCAGACAGGAGAATGGCTTGAGCCTGGGAGGCAGAGGTTGCAGTGAGCCAAGATCTCGCCACTGCACTCCAGCCTGGGTGACTGAGTGAGACTCTGTGTCGAAAAAAAAAAAAATTAATTGTAAATTATTGTAATAATTTTGAGTAAAGTTTTGTAATTTTGAGTAAAGTTTCTATAAATATAATTGGTATAAAGAGTAAAATAACATAGAAAAGGATATATAAATGTAGAGAAAGTATCAGTCTAATCCAGTTTTTTTGTTTGTTTGTTTTTTAAGAGCATGTTAATTCTTGGCAATGTAAATTTTGGTCCACAGGTGAGCTCCTTATTATTATGCTCCTTAGAGAGATATGTGTTTATATATTTTTTTATTTAGTTGATTTAGTTGTGATTATCCAAGAAAAACTTGTTCAGAGAAGGGAAAAATTTCAGTTGGGGAGCAGGTTATCAATCTGAATGAACTTTGGCCCAGAGTTTTTAACTCAATTTGCCTAAAATCTCACTTCTAAATTATGAATTGGTGAATCATGGGGAACTTGGACTTCCCAAAGTTGACATCAGTGCTCTTGACTAGATCATTGTGCCTACAATTACTGTAGCTGCAAAAAAAAAAAAAAAAAAAAACAAAAAAAACACAAGGAAGATGCTCATATGTAATCAAAAAAAAAGAAAGAAAGAAAGAAAACAAGCTTATTTGAAAAATTGCAGTTTTTGTCTGAGTTCTCTTGATAATGCTGCTTACTTTTTCAAAATCTAACATTTCCCTTCAAAGATTCAGGTGGCCTTAAAACAGACCCTTTCTACAACATGTCTTTACTCTAGAACCCAGACTGGCACCGCCCTGCTAACAGTGAGACTGAACTTGAAATTCTTGTGTGTCTCTTTTTATTTCCCAGGGACAAATTCTTCTGTGTCTGTATTTATTTCCCAGGATTTAACTCAGCAAACAAAAAAATTTGTTGCTCTATATGTCAAAAAACTATTTAAGAAATTAAATTTCAATAAATTAGTTTTGATTAAAAGAGTAAGTATATATATAAAAATTGGCATTAACAAAGCTATTAACAAGACAATAGCTTATGACTATTTCTTTGTATCTGAACTATATTTTGAATCACTTTAAAGGATATCAGTCATTTAACCATCAATGGCTATTACTTTAGGCACTGTCCTAGACAAAGGATGTATAGAAAGTAAGAAAAATACATATAGTCCCTGACCTCACGGAGACAGTATGCATTGTGATTAAGAATTCAAACTGATTTCATTTGAATCTTGACTCTGTCATTCACCAAGCTACAGGAATTTGAGAAAATTGCAAAATGTGTCTGAATTTCTTCACTGTAAAATGGGATTATGTATATACAAAACCCATCTGACCATTAGAAATAAAACATAGAGAAGAAATGATTCTTACTATATATCTTACAGTCTGGTAATATTAAACCAATAATTAAAAAGGTAAGGCATCTATAAAGGAGATGTTGAAGTCATTGTTAAAGCGTAAAACAAAAATACCTAATTAAATCTACAGTAAAATTCTTTCAAGGCCTGCAGAACATTTTCTGGACATTAAATCTTTTCCTTCTTATGAGTAGTAATAAAATTCTTAAAGATGGTGTAAGATCTCCCCAAATAATACTATATATTAACTCTCAAATATATATCATATATTAGTTCTATTAAAATATAAATTTTAGATGAATTAAATTTAACAGAGTTTAATTGAGCAAAGAATAATTTGTGAATTAGGCAGGCCCTACAACCTGAATAGATTCAGAATGACTCCAGGACTGCCACATGGTTGGATAACATTTATAGATAGAATAGGAAAGTGACTTACAAAAAATGGCAGTGAAGTATACAAACTGCTGGCTTGGTTACTGCTGGGCATTTCCCTTATTTGAACCTGTTTTGAACGGTTGGCTGCCTGTGGTTGACTAAAGTTCTACTGCTGTGATTGTTTGAGACTCAGCTACTTGTTATAATACAACAGTAGGTGTATTAGTCCGTTTTCATGCTGCTGATAAAGACATACCCGAGACTGGGCAATTCACAAAAGAAAAAGGGTTAATGGACTCACAGTTCTACATAGCTGGGGAAGCTTCACAATCATGGTGGAAGGCAAGGAGGAGTAAGTCACATCTTACGTGGTTGGCAGCAGGCAAAGAGAGAGCTTGTGCAAGGAAACTCCCCTTTTTAAAGCCATCAGATCTCGTGAGACTTATTCACTATCACAAAAACACTGCAGGAAAGACTTGCCTCCCTGATTCAATTACCTCCTACCAGGTCCCTCCCACAACACTTGAGAATTCAAGATTAGATTTGGGTCGGGTCATAGCCAAACCACATCAGTAATTTACAGTCTTTTTACACATCAAGTTGGGTCACAGTTCATTATTTATAGAGAAATCTTTGACTAAACTTACAATATGAAAGAAGGCAGCTTTAGGGCAAACTTAATTTAACAATAGTATCCTTTTGGTCTCAGTTTTGAGGTTGACCAAAACTTTACACATTGACATCACTCTGCCATCATTGTAAATGGACTCACTTGGTCTCAAATCCCACTAGAACATAGCAGAACAGTGCATTTTGAAAGGTGGGAACAAGAAAATAGAACAATTAAAAAAAACAACCTGATTGCTGCTTGGCTAACATCAGGTTACTTCAGATTTTTTGTTGTTGTTGTTGTTGTTAAGGCATAAAATAAAGGAGACTTCCTCATTATGTTAGAATCTTCTGTTTTCAGGAGGAACAAAATAATCTGATCTGTCTGGGATCTATCTGCATACTTAAAGTTTCAGTTTGATTATGAAACTTAGCATGAATGATTCCATTTTGGTTTGGTCTCACCTGTTGGGGGCCAGGCAGAGTACCTAACTCTAAAACAATGGCCTGCCATTATTTTGTTTAACAGTTCCTCTCTTTTGGTTAGAGTCTCACTAAAGTGATGATGTAATCAAACTTAGGGCCTTTGTGCTACTCAATCTTCATCATTTTGTGTTTCCAGTCTCAACACGTCATTCACAGGTTACAATGTCCTCATAATTACTCATTTAAGTTTTTGTTTTATCAAACAGAGACCATTCAACATTCTAAAGATGGCTTCATGCAAACATTTAAACATTCTGTTTCTGAGAGAAAACAGAGTACTATTATATTAGGAGGATAATACCAAGTATTTGAAGTATGCTCCTAAGCCAAGGTCCCCATGAACCAAACCAACTAAAAGACATCAAAGAATGAGCCAGATTAAAAGTCTATACATTTTAACCAAACAACCTATTCATTAACTCTCTGGAACTAATTCTCTATCACACTTATAATACCCAGTGTAATCATCTGTGTGCAACCAGAAGTGTCAGCAACTGCACAGATTCTTTTTCAGGTAGTTAGTAACCTAGAGCAATTGTATTATCTAACTTGAGCAAGATAATTTGAAGAAATTTGTTGTGTAAACATAGCCTTTGCAGTAGAACCTACTATAGAGCCTATTATTAGGTACACATTTCTAATCATTGTCTCCTTTACATTTACTCCAAACCATTGAAAAAAGAGACCTAGCAAATAATGTCAGTCCAAAAGGGTGAAGGCCTCTTGGAAATGTTCTTCTTAACCTATTATGTGGGTTAAAAGGAGGGGACTAATTTTCTGTTTTTGATTGATAATGGAACAACAAAGTCACCATTAAAATTCCTAGCCCACATTGGCCCCTCATCTTCTACCCATCAACACATAAGTTTTCCCATGTATAACGTAGAATACAAAATCCTCCACAAATGCGGATCATGAGGTTGTGAGTTCAAGACCAGCCTGGACAATATTGTGAAACCCCATCTCTACTAAAAATACAAAAATTAGCTGGGTGTGGTGGTGCATGCCTGTAGTCCCAGCTACTCAGGAGGCTGAGGCAGAATTGCTTGAACCCAGGAGGCAGAGGTTGCAATAAGCCAAGATGGTGCCACTACACTCCAGCCTGGTGAAAAAGCAAGACTCTGTCTCAAAACAACAACAACAAAATGTATACCCCATGGATACACACAGGCCCCTTTTCCAGTTCTGCTGTTCATACGTTATTTGGGATGTTAAAATTAGCAGTTTCTAGCCAAGTATCTAACGTGGAGTTATTATAGGTTTAAGAACACTAGAGTACCCTGGCATATAAAACAATTAGCAAGAAACTCCATATGGGCTTTTAGTGAAAACCTTTTTTATTATATTCTTTTTGGCCCTGCTTTTTGTGTTCCATTACAGGGTTAAATTCAAACAGGAGTGAGAACAAGTGGGTTTATAAATCTTACCACAAATACAATTTGAACAATGGTTACTTTAGAGATATTGCTAAAGTTAACCACTGGGTGAACTAAAAGATCCCATAGAAAATGTAAAGATACAGGTTTGGCATTACAGATGGAACACTACATTAAGCTAATCATAGTAGCTACTGATTGTGAAATTATAATTATGGGATTATCGTGCCTAGCATAAGTAATGAAAAATTAAGAGAAGTGTTAATAGCAGAGAAGTCTTGATCTATCATCTTGATAGAGCTGTCCATATCTAGGATGTCATCTGCTTGTGGGGAGGAATTTCCCTGGTTAGATTTAGCTTAAGGTCTCCAATAGGTGTACAGTTCCCAACACCTGGAGAGGCCGTTTTGAGTTTGAGATGCGGATCCAAGGTTTGAAGTATGAAAGTTTTGCTGAAGTGTGAGTGGCAAGGGGATGTTTTTTTCTGATGACATTTCCAGAAGACTCAAACTTTGGGTTCTAGATCATGAAGAGTTTGATTGTCCTCAGTTAGTGAATCACTAAAAATCTTTCTTCATCTGGTGAAAACACAATTTGGCATGATGCATTAAAGCCTTGTAGTACTTATTCATATCAGTTTAGGAAAGCAGGAGATACCTGAAGTTCCATTATTACCAGCATATGCATTGCAGTGATTATTTCAAAAGGGGTAAACTTACGTTTTTCACTGGAAATGGTATTGACTGTCATAAATCTGTAACACCTTCAATCAATGGAATCCAGTTGATGCAGACAGCTTTGTCTAATGTTATTATAGCTATAATAACTTAACTGTTTTACAAGTTGTTCAGTGAAACAAACACCTCTACAACTTGAGATTTCTCCAGGAATGCACCATGAGGCAGGCACACTTTCTACTAACTTTCAGCTATTTTAGCCTCAGCCTTCTTGTGTGGGGGTTCAGTCAGGATGGTTGGGAAAATGATAAGATGAAACCTTCTTGGAAGGCCTGGGGAGTTTGCATAAGCTACCGGGATAATCTTGGCTGAAGGCAGCCTTGTCCCCTTAGTTAAATAAATTAGAGTAGAAACAAAGGAATGTAGGGAGTTTATCTAACTAGCTTGTTTACTCATGTGGTCCCAAGAATAACATTTGATTTACTGCAGGTGCTTAATTTCTTTCTACTCAGGAAGTCCACAGTGTCAATTACCCTCTAGTGGTATTGACTCAAGCCTTTGTCAATTAATATTTACTGAATAAATGGGAGTCTCACTAGCTGGTCGAGGCCACAGTCACAACTGTTTACAGCACTCTGCTTGGGAGTCTGTAAGTGGCCTGGACGCTCAGCCAAACTGCCAAAGCAGAATATCTGTATGTCAGTGTACTTCATTCACCCACCGTTGGGTCAGGGTCTGTGGGACAGACCCCAGCATTCTTGCATAAGAAAGCTTCTATATAACCTGAAAATATGCATTGACAATGGTAATTGAATGAAATTCCTCTGTAAATGTTTAAATGGCCCATCGGATAGCATAAATCTACCAGAAGTTTTTATTTTCTTTTCAGGATTATGGGTTTGACAAACCAAATATTGGTTATAAACGATTTTAGCAATTTTAGAACAGTCTCCACACCACTTTTTAAAAAAATAATTGGGATTATTTTTTCATTTGCATGATGAGTCATGGAGTGCAGAGATTTTAATAATAGAAGCTTTAAGGACTGTTTTAAGAATTCAGGAAAGAACAGGTGGCCATTTGGGGTCCCAAAAATCCACAATATTGGATTCATATCCTCTTAAATATTATTTTTTCATGCAATTCAGCTTCATAGCACTGTTTATTAAATGGGCTATCATATGTAATTTGACTTGGATTATGGAAATTATTAAAATTGTATATCTGAATAATTTTAGTACTGGCTGATTTAGCATGAAAATCTCCTAAAGTATTTCCTTGGCATTTAATTAACTATTGAAATGCTTGGATTAGGAGTTTTATAAACCAGCCATTCTCTTTAATAGATTTCTAGGAATTCTTATTCAGCCCAGTGGTATGATATCAAGGTTTTTAGAAACCTGTACTTGTCAGAGACATTTCCATCCTTTCCCTGAAACTTCTTGAAGACACAGCACATTAGGATTATAATTGCTTGTAAAGATATTTCAGAAAAAGCATCAGAATTAAGCAATTAATTGTAGACAACACTTAACAATGGCCATGGTTAATAATGCAATTGACAAGAAAATTTGGTTATTTCTGTGGCCTATAATAATTCAGCATAACTATGACAGATAATATATACCAAGACATATCAACCTTTTTAAGAACTTCATACAATTTTGAAATAGAAATTAATAGCATATCCATACTCAAAAAAGATAATTTTTTAATTTTATAGTGCTTCTAATATAATGTAATATAATTTAACATATTAGATAAGTTTATTATCTTTTATATGTTTTAGGAGCCCCCTGGAACATCCCAAAGTTTACTTTGAAGTCGAAAAGACTTAATTTCCATTTTGAAATTTGATTTTGGGAAGCCCGTCAAATATGTCAAAGGTTTCAAATACTTGATCAAAACAGGATCTCAGATCACTGTAAAATACAGTCATTCGTTTAGCCAAAGTGATTAAAAGACTTTAAAAAGCAAAAACCTTTACTCTTTGAGAGACAGTAGACTCAGTTTCCCAAATAATCAGAAGACCTAATAAAGACAGCAGGAGGCACCCAACATCTGTTTCTTTCTCCCCTCTCTCTTTTTACTTTTATTTTTTTGCAATTTACTCAGAAGTTGAAATACACCTTTTACTATCTCTTATTAACACTACATACAAATCTTATTTAAAATAGAAAACCAAATTTTGGTTTTGTACTAGTATACTTTTGATACTAAGGATCAATTTTAAAAGCCCTTATAATAAATTCACTTAATCTTAGTTTAACCATACAAGATATTTATTTATTTACTTATTTATTTATTGAGACAGAGTCTATGTTGCCCAGGCTGGTCTTGAACTCCTGGCCTCAAGCAATCTTCTTACCTTGGCCTCTAAAAGTGCTGGGATTATAGGCATTAGCCACTGTGCCTGGCTTATATTACTCTTTTTTTAAATTTATTTTTATATCCACTTAACTTTACATTACTTTTTCTTTATTTCTTCATTTTGAAACATTTAAATAACCTTTAAACTAGATAAATTTTTTCTTTTAAGAAAAATCACATTTTTATGTCTTCTTTACAAACTTTCTCACCAAAAACATATCTTGCTCTTTCTGTGAAATTTACATACAAAATTTTCCTTTATTTTTAGTAGTTTTGAGAGGTGACAACATGTTAGCAGCCCTCACTCACTCTCAGCGCCTCCTCGGCCTCAGCGTCTGCTTTGGCCAGCTTGAGGAGCCTTTCAGCCCGCCGCTGCACTATGGGAGCCCTTCTCTGGACTGGTTGAGGCCTGAGCCGGCTACCTAGGCTTGCGGGGAGGTGTGGAGGGAGATGCGTGGGCGGGAACCGAGGCTGCGCATGGTGCTGGCAGGCCAGCACGGGTTCCGCTTGGCGCGGGCTCCGCGGGACCTGCACTGGGAGGGCAGGCCGGCACCACCGGTCCTGGGCAGTGAAGGGCTTAGCACCCGGGCCAGCAGCTGCAGAGGGTTCGCTGTGTCCCCTGGCACTGCCAGCCCATCCGCACTGCTGCGCTCAAATTCTTGCTGGGCCTCAGCTGCCTCCCCATAAGGCAGGGCTCAGAACCTGAGCCTGCCACGCCTGAGCCCCACCCCAGGGTGGGCTCCCGCATGGCCTGAGCCTCCCCAAGAGGTGTCGCCCCCTGCTCTGCCATGGCCCCCGGTCCCATTGACCACCCAAGGGCTGAGGAGTGCAGGCACACAGCACAGGACTGGCGGGCAGCTCTGCCTACGGCCCTAGCGCTGGATCCACTAGGCGAAACCAGCTGGGCTCCTGAGTCGTGTGGGGTCTTGGAGAACTTTTATGTCTAGCTGGAGGATTGTGTATGCACCAATCAGCACTGTGTGTCTAGCTCAGGGTTTGTGGATGCACCAATCAGCACCCTGTCAAAACAGACCAATCAGCTCTCTCTAAAATGGACCAAACAGCTCTCTGTAAAATGGACGGATCAGCAGGATGTGGGTGGGGTCAGATAAGGGAATAAACGCAGGCTGCCAGAGGCAGCAGCGGCGAACTGCTGGGGTCCCTTTCCATGCTGTGGAAGCTTTATTCTTTCGCTCTTCACAAAAAATGTTGCTGCTGCTCACTCTTTGTGTCCAGGCCAACTTTATGAGCTGTAACCCTCACTGCGAAAGTCTGCAGCTTCACTCCTGAAGCCAGCGAGACGAGGAACCCACCGGGAGGGACAGACAACTCCAGACAGAAAGAACGAACAACTCCAGACAGAAAGAACGAACAACTCCAGACGCGCTGCCTTTAAGAGCTGTAATACTCACCACGAAGGTCTGCAGCTTCACTCCTGAAACCTGCAAGACCATGAACCCACCAGAAGGAAGACACTCCGGACACAGCTGAACATCAGAAGGAACAAATTCCGGACATACCATCTTTAAGAACTGTATCACTCACCGCAAGGGTCCACAGCTTCATTTTGGAAGTCAGCAAGACTAAGAACCCACCAATTCCAGACACAGTTTTAATTATATACATTAATGACAATTTTAACTTTAAGTAATTTCAATGTTCAGTATTAAACTAGGAAGTAAGCAATTTTAAACTATGTTATAGCAGTATTTACAGATAAAATCATTTTATGATTTCAGAAGAATGTTTCCTCAATTTTTTATGTTTCTGAGCACATGCAAATATATTTGTCTTATTCATATCATGTAAAAACAATTTGTTAATGTATTTAGGTTTATGCTTGCTAGTTAATGTTTTCGTACTTAGAAATTACTCAGACATTTAGTAAGTACTATTTAACGTAACTTTAAGATTTTAAATTGCTGAAAAAAATGTTTGAGACTATGACAAATTCATTTATAAACTTTTCTGCCATTTACCTTTACCTAATTTAAACATTCTTATCAATTATGCTTGGATTGCTTACTTAATAAAGCTAGTCATTGAAGAAGATTAAGAAATAGCATGCAAAAATGTAGTTTTGCTGAATACATGCTAGAATATAGTCACTTTGGTATATTATTGCTACCAACAGGTAAGTAGAGCCAGGCTCTTTGAATTCTCCTTATCTGTGTAAAGACAGATTTTTCCAAAGGAGCTCAATTGTCATCAATTCTGTCTTCAAGGAGTTCCAGCAACCTTTTCTTTTATCACAAGAAAAGATACTTCATCACACCCAGACAAACCTTTTCATAAACCACCACCCTGTTTTCTGAGGGCCCATTTATCTTTCCCCAAACTCATTTACTACTTCAGGCCTAAATTGCATCATTTGCCCAAACCAAGGAAAGAGAATGTAGGTAAAGACCCAATTAAGATAGCCAAGAAAATCACTTTAGACAAAGGTAATGCTTTGTAATTTTAAACTAATATTTTTTTCCATTATATAAGTTTCTAGTGACCCAGTGCTCCCTCTCTTCCAGGTGCACAAAGGCAGACATCCTCACAAAAGGAGATTACCTTCATAGATGTAAACTGCATTTACAAAAGGGTTTCAAGATAGCTAGTTAAGTGCCAGAAAGGTATGTTTTGGTGACCAATTAAGTTTAATATAAGGCATTTTTAAATTTAGCTTTTGTTGTTTAACAAAAACTACTGCGTTCTAGGCAGGACCTTTTAAGGAATAGGGCAAAGAAAGCATTTCCTCTGCCTGGACTTAGTATTAGCCACTGTGGAAAAAAAAGAAAGCTTACTTTATCAAAGAGCCTACTTTTTTATAAATATTTTATCCAGTTTTATTTTCCCGGTGGGTGGGGGCAGGAGGGTTTAATAACTAAGGCAAAAAGTTAGCAGATACAATTTTTCTTATCGATTAATTACTTAAGCTTTTCTTTGCCTTTTGGAAGAGTCTTTTAAAAGAAGCAATATGAATATTAAAATCTTTTTAGAAGCTTCTGCACATCAATAGACGTCCCTGGGTGAGCCTAATTCAGAAGCCCTTATTTTTAAATGCACTTCTTAAAGTGAAGTGTTGTTTATTTCAAACATTCCATTATAATTTCAAGATCTCTTTAATTCGATTTTGTCATTTTGTAAATATTTGCTGCTTTAGGGGCCTAATACTTATGCATGTAAAGGTAGGTGTAGCTGGAAGGTGGAGTACCCAGTTCTTCAGAAATTAATATCTCATTTTTATGTTTAAACTTGGCTTTGGCTCTGAGATCCACTTGATCAAATTAGTCAATTTTTTCCCCCTACTCAAGTGAGCAAGAAAAAGAAACAAAGGGAGTGGAAAACAATATCCCTACAAATTTCCGAAATCTGGAGTTCAAACCCCCTGCAGTAATTGCTGTTTACTCTTAAGTTTCTGTCTGACTCAGTCAGATATGTGAGGCCTCTAGCTGGATTGAATCCAGTTAATTGTCAGATTTAATTCAATCCTGGATCCCGTCCAGCTCCTGTTGTGATTTTCAAACCCAGTCTGTATCAAAAATGTGCTCAAACAAACTCAGATAGCTCAAAACTCAAATCCATGGAGCTTTTAAATCCAAGAAAGAAGTTACCCCTAATTCCCAGTTGCTGTGAGAGTAATGGACACATGGGTCTGGCAAGCTCCTTACTTCATCACTTGGGGGTTGCTGGAAGCCCTACTTCAGATCCCACTTCTGAGGCCAACTGTTAAAAGAAAAACTGTAGACAAATTAAATTCAACAGAGTTTAATTGAGCAAAGAATGATTTGCAAATCAGGCAGCCCCCAGAACCAGAATAGGTTCAGAGCTACTCCAGGGCTACCACATGGTCAGTTAACATTTATGAACAGAAAAAGAAAGTGATGTGCAGAAAATGGAAGTGAGGTACACAAACAGCTGGATTGGTTACAGCTGGGAATTTGCCTGATTTGAACCTGGTTTGAACAGTTGGCTGCCTGTGATTGACAGAAGTTTGGCTGCTTTGATTGGCTGAAGTTGGGCTGCTTGTTACAAGAGTAGGTTACAGTCTGTTTACACATGAAGTTGGGTTACAGCTTATTATGTACAGAGAAACCACTAGGTCAAATTTAAAATATATAAGGATGCAGTTTTAAGCTAAACTTAATTTAACAGTTCTCTAATATTTCCATCACTGATGAGCAAAAAAAAGAAATTGCTTCATGCACATATACAAAAAGTACTGCTAAATACAGTAACATTGAATTTCTCATGTTGTCTTTTAGAAAAAAAAAGAAAATCAAATTTTACTTTGTGTTGTAAATCAAAGACAATGACGGATTTAAGCCCCAATCATTTTAAAAGTTTTATTTGCTAAGGGTAAGGACGTGCCCAGGAAAAGAACACAGAACCACAAGAAAAATTGGTGGGTGTGTTTTTTCTGAAGAGGATCTGGGGACCTCCATAGTTAAAGAGAAAAGAGCAGGTACTGGGAAGGAGGAGAAAGAAAGAATAAGGTAGGTATCTTGTGCCTGCATTATTGCTTATTAGTAGGAGCCAAATGATAAGAACTTATGAACATAAGGAAGGAAACGACAGCACTGGGGTCTACTTGAGGTGGGAGGGTGGGAGGAGGGAGAGGAGCAGAAAATATAACTGTTGGGTACTGGGCTTACTATTTGGGTGATAAAATAATTTGTACAAAAAACCTCTGTGACACACGTTTACCTATGTAACAGACCTTCACATGTACCTAAAATAAAACTAAAAACAACAACAACAACAAAACAACAAAAAAAAAAAACAAGAAGAGGGTAGGTAGATAAGAGGCAACAGGTTGCATTCTTTTGAGTCTTTGGTCAGTGTTCACTGAATACACATTTTACATATGAGGGTGGGTACAGAAACAGTAACATGCA
Organism: Homo sapiens; assembly: GCF_000001405.40. Lineage (NCBI taxonomy): Eukaryota > Metazoa > Chordata > Mammalia > Primates > Hominidae > Homo > Homo sapiens. The sequence continues at coordinate 194,086,334 of NC_000002.12, read as the reverse complement.
TTTGTCTCATGCTCAGTGAAGCTGCATTATTACAAGTAAAAATAAACATAGGTTAGAGGAAGCAGTTAAATATTCATTTGTCTCAGGGGAGCATTGGAACGACTTTTTAGTTTTGTCCTTTGTCCCTTACATGTGAAGATAAACTATCAATTTAGATTGTCAGGGTAAAGTAAAACAGAACTATTTTAGGGTAAAGATCTGGGGCCCACAAGGAATTTCTTTGAGGGCAAGTTGTGAGGGAGGTATGTAGCTTTTCTGTCTTTGAACCTATCTTATTAAGAACAAAGTGAGAGGTGGGTGTGTATAACCAAGTTCCCAGCTTGATTTTTCTCTTTGCCTTAGTAAGATTGGGATCCTGATATTTATTTTCCTTTCACATTTTCTTTAAGTTATTTTTTAAATCACTTCAGCTCTTCTACTTCAAAGTAGCAACTATATTTTCTTAATATGTACTAAAAGTTTATTTTGAATTTTACTTTTTTGAAGGGTTAATTGAAAATTGCTTCAAACTCTGCTGCTGAAGAAATCACTCTAATCAAGAATGGTGTTTGCATACAAATAATATTTTTGCATACAAATGAGTATTTGAGGTTGCGTTATTTTATTCGTTGTATCTATATTAAAACAAACAGAAGCAGAACATTAACTGCTCCCTATTACTTCAAAATACCTTTTAATACTTGCTTTTCAAAATTATGTTTTGATTAGTAACAATAAATTGTAGTGTTTGGTATAAGATTAATTTGTATTTTTTATTTAGATTTAAAAATAACTTTGTGCTCATAATTCAACACCATTATCAAGAAATAACAACTGTATTTGAGATACTCAAATAAGAAAGATTCAATAATCCATTTGGCTTGGAATGGATAGAATGAGTTTTCTGTACTTCTTCTCTTACTTTGTGCTATTACAGATTTTATTGGTTAAATTTTACTTAATAGAGTCTAATGATGCCCATATAGAAATAAAAGCATTATATATATTAAAACAGAATGGGGGGGCATTTTGCTGCTTCAAAATATATCTAAGATTTATATGAAAGTTAACTTAGTTGGGATAGAGAAATTAAGAGAAGTCCAAGAGCAAAACAACAGATTCCAGAAAGAAAAAATAACCAGATGCAGAAAAAAGAGATATATTTGAGCTCCAGTTTAAGAAAATATTGTTTCCCAAACATGCTTGTGTTTCAAATATTTAATACACTATTAAACATATATAAATTAATATTTTTGAATCACCTGTAATTACTGTATACCTTTGTAAAATATACCCTATATTTTTAACATCTTTAACAACTTTTTCTTTGTACCCGTTTCTTTGATCATATTTTTCTCATTTTGATTACTGCTAATATATAGTAGAAAATACGAGTTGCGACTACTGCTTTATGATCATTGTAGGGAAAATATTACATCTTGGTAAGTAGTAAATTTAATATATATTTTAAAATACCCCATTGTCTGCTATTGGAAATGTGATCCAAATATAAACCCTGTCATAGTGATAGAAGCAAAAGACAGACAAATGCCTAGGCAAATAGTGAAGGGACCCCAGAGAATCTCTGGCTCACCCCATAAGTATTTAGACCTGATGTTTTTGTGCAGATGAGGGAACCTGCACAGGGTCTTACTGGGCATGCCAGCAATGTACTGGAGGCCCACATGCACTGGGAGGATGAGGTGGAGCCACCAGGAATTCGCACATTACACGGGAGGAGCTGGGCCTCTTCAACTCATGTGTGGTGGCCTGGTATTCAATTTGTGAGGTAGAAATCTGTGTGCAGGACCCCTCTTTTTTTGCTGAGAGCTTTCCTTTCATGTAATCAATTCTGCCCTCCTTACCTTTCAATGAGTCCATGTTCCTAATTTTTCTTGGTCATGAGACAAGAACTCAGATTTAGCTGAACTAAGGAACAAAAAGTCCGACATCAATAGTTTATGCCAAATCATTCCATATTACCTATTAAAAAATAAAATAATAAAATACTCAACAGTGTAGAAACAGACAAGTGATATATTGTTATTATCTGAAAGGAATTACTGCTAAGTTGGAGGGTGATAAAACTGGAGGATAAAGGTAAGTATTTTACTCTCCGTAGAATAATTTTGATCTGATAAGGTGAAAGGCAACACAGGCTTTTCTCATTATCTGTAAAACCATAAAACAACCATTCTTCTTCACTTGGAACATTTTTCATTTTTTTTGGTTGTTGTTAAGTCAATTCCTGTGTTATATAACTCAGCTTTGTGTTTCCTAGATTTAGACTTTAGTCAAAGGGAGAACTAGAAGGAATTAGGAATTGGAAGACAGGCAAGAACGTATACTTTTGGGGTGGGCATATCTTCTGAAATTTAATTGCTAGGTATTGAAACAAAAGTAAGAATATTGCTAGATGAATTTATGGAGATACTCATTTCCCCGTAATTTGTTAGAAGTGTTCCACCAGAAGGCATGGTAACAATAGAAATTTGATTATAAAAGGTAAATAACCACCAACTATTCAGATACAGAAGATTTCACCAGTGTCTAATTGGGCTCAGTGTAGGCACAAATTAAAGGCAGAGATGTAGTGTATTAACAATGATCAAATATGATTATGTCTTATTTTGAACTAACATTACATCTTGGTGAAAATAAAGAGATAAGCATTACAGAATAAAGAAACATAAATATGATCTTGAAAGATAAATAACAGAGCATCTGTGAAATATGTAGTTGCTACAGAAACCAGAAACATAAAAAAATAAAAATTTAGTTTGAGATATTGAAAAAAATTAAGGTTAAGAAGTGCTCATGCAGGAGATACAATAGCATGATAGATGTACAAGGTAATAACATGAAGCCAGGAGAGCAAGCTGAGCAAAGAAGGAAAATGAGTAAAAAAAAAAAAAACTTCAAGCAAACTCAAATGGCAACAGAATGTTCAGCAAGAAAAGCCAGACATGATATTGTACTGACTGTATTATTCCATTTATATGAAAGTTCAGAAGAGGCATAGTAACAGAAAGCATGTCAGTGATCACTTTGGCCTAGGGTAGAAGAATTGACTGAATATTGGCATGGGGAACTTTATGGTGGTGAATTTTATATATTGATTGTGTAATATTTACCTGTGTAAATGTTTAAACATTTGGTATAATTCAATATTGAGTACTTTTAATTGCACATTTTTTATTCTAGTAAAATGGTTAAAATTAAAAATACCTAACCATTTGGGAGAAAAAATATTAACACCTCCTTACTTCAAAATAAATAACATTTTTTTCTCATAGTTAATGCTTGAAGACCAAGGAGAAATATCCTTGTTTTGTGGAAATGAAACTGTTACTTTTCTAATATTATTGCCACAAAAAAAAATTTCTTAGCTGATAAGAAATCAGAAAATTAGTCTTACTGCTTTTGGTGGAAATATTTGAAAGCATTATCCAAGTACATGAACATTGGATTATAATTTATGAATCAAAAAATATTGAATATAAAATTTGGTTAATATAAAAATCAGTTAGATGATTTCTATGTTGTAATTCCAAAAAAAGAATGCAAATATCAAAACAAATCTTTAGAATGGAAAATGTATAATAGTATCAGCATTAGTATAATCTGGTTTTAAATTTCAGATTGTAACAAACTATAATATTTATTAGAGTATCACTTTTTCCTTATTTAACATTAAAAATTACTTCAGCAGACCAAATATATGTTATTTTTGAGATTAAAAAATGTTTAAAAATGGCATAGATATGTTAGAGCTGAAAAGTCAGAAAAATTGGTAGGTGAGAGATACATGTTCATAACTGCTCATTCCTGTTACCTATCTTCATGAATAGTCAAAAGAACAAATGGTTAAAAATAATGGCAGAATTTCAGTCTACCTTGACCACTAGATCAGAGGCTAATGTATACACATATACTTGTGGTTGGAAGTAATGATATAATCACTAGCCATTAGGAGAAGCAACTTCTGTATTCTCTTGTGAGTAACCTGCAGGAAGAATCACCAATTTCATGGCTGCATTGGCATTCAATGAAATAAGGTGGACTGAATCCCCCAGAACATGGAGACATCTTGTTCCCACCAACTACAGCAGGTGATCCCATATTTGAAAGAATAATAGCTGGAATATAAACTGAATCTAACTATATATCTATTTATCATTTATCTAGCTATTTGTTATCTTTTTCTCTAAACTTCTGATTTTAAACTGTGGTTATCTCTGGCAGTTAACATTCTGGGAGATTTTAATTTTATTTGTTATATTTTTAATGTTTTATATGCTTTAATATGAGCAACTATCTTTTATATAATTAAAAGTAATAATACTAAGCAAATGATATTTTATTATTTTAACTTCTTTTAATAAAATTCATATGAATAAACAATTTTTAAAAATTAAAATTATAGATTTTTATTTTCACTGAGGAAACCGTTAATTCTAAAATGAATAATTATACCTCAACCACCAAAAGACAGTAAATTGGCAGTAGAAAATCCTAATGACAATGGTGTACATAGTAGATATTTAATTTGTTAAAAAATTGACAAGGCAAGGGGAGGTATCAAGTAGAGAAGTATTAAAGGAAACGGTGTATCAGGTAGTTAATTATATTAGATTTGTAAGACTGTTATAACAAATTACTGCAACCCGGCTGGGTTAAAACAACAGAAATTTATTCTCTCACAGTCTGGGAGGCCAGAAGTCTGAAATTAAGTCAGCAAAGTTTGTTGCTTGTGAAAGCTCTGAGGGAGAATGTGCTTCCTGCCCCACTTATAGCTCTATGTGGCTGTGGGTATCCTTAGCGCTCCCTGCCTTACATATTTGCATCAATCCAATGGCTACTCCTGTATTCTCATAGCTTTTTAATCAGTATATCTGTGTTTCTGTGTCTAAATTTTCCTCTCATTTCTCTTATAAAAACATTAATCATTAATTTATGACCCATCTTATTTCCAGGATGATTTTATTTCGATATCTTTAATAACACCCACAAAAGACCCTTATTTCCAAATAATGCCACATTCTCAGGTTCTGAGTGGACACGGTTTGAGGGGCACTATTCAGTGCACTACAGTAATACATTATTAAGATCTTAAAAATTAACTGCCTTTCTGAGAACAAACAACTTTTTATTTAATTTTATTATTTTAAAATATTTTTATTCAAGAACACAACATAAATAAAAGTCTATCTACACTTCTGATTTTTGAATGATCATTTAGGTGGTGATTTGCAAAAAAAAGTAGAAAGTTTAAAGTTTAAATACTTGAGTATAAATATTGTGAGAATAAATCCATAGTATTTTTATTTATTTTTGAAATGTAGCTTTTTTTCTCTTAAATTTTGAATATTTTGCTTTTACTGATCAACATGTATAGTTTCTAAACTTTAGCAATACTTTATTTATTTATTTATTTATTTATTTAAGACAGGGTCTCACTTCATCACCCAGACTGGAGTGTAGTGGCACAATCACAGCTCACTGCAGTGTCGGCCTCCTGGGCTCAGGTGATCCTCCAACCTCAGCCTGCTAAGTAGCTGGGACTCCAGGCACATGCCACCATGCATGACTAAGTTTTAATTTTTTTATAGAGGCAGGGTTTCACCATGTTTCCCAGGCTATAAACTTTAGCAATACTTTTAATACAAATGATACAAAAAGGCTACTTTCATCACAATAATTGTTTCATGAGGGTTAGTATTAATTATTTAATCATGTATATTCACAGTAAGTTAACAGGCAAACAAAGTGAACCAAATTGATGTCCAAAGACTTTCAAAACATGGCTTAACTGTTCGGCAAATTAATACATAATACATTGTAACTTAAAACTTTAAATAATTTAAATTGCTTTGGTTTTCATACTTACATAAATGTTTATATAATTTAGATCTTGTCTTTAAGAAATAAGAGTATCCAGGACGGACACATTGGCTCAGGCTGTAATCCCAGCACTTTGGGAGGCCAAGGCAGGCAGATCATGAGGTCAGGAGTTCGAGACCAGCCTGATCAACATGCTGAAATCCCGTCTGTACTAAAAAAAAAAAATACAGAAAAAAAAAAGAAAAGAAATAAGGGTATCCAATGTATGTTTAGACTGAAGGAATTGTAAGAAAAAAATATAAACAACCAAACGTAAAAAGTTTTACAAAGATGATGTCATTGTTTCTTCATTTCTGATAAAAGTAAAACTTGGACAGACAAAATAAATACATTTATTTTTAAAGTTATAAATATCAGATATGGTTTATTATAAATGTAGGAATATACATTTTCTTTGATTATATTTTCCAATATACTATCTTAGCATATGAAGATAGGTATAAAAGCAAAAAGAGAATTGTCTATATGATGAGCTTTTACTCCTAATCTTAAAAACATCTTTAGAATACTCTGTAAATTGTTTATAATTGGCTTGATAGCATTTGTGTATTAGGTATTTAAGATAGCATCACTTAAGAATAGCTGCTTTGAGAGAGACAAACCCTGAATGAAGCCTCATTCCCATTAAATTAATTGAAAAAAAGAATGAGATTTTTCTATGCTCAGGAGCCTCACCTTCTTTAATCAGGGCATTTTCTTGACCAAGCATGTTTATCTATCTGATACATGGTCAATGTTGACAGTCTCCCTAACAGTTACTGAAACTTCATGGGACAAGGACCCTCTTCTAAAGCCTATTCCATGACACACATAGTATGTGTGACTGAGCATTCCTTCCATGATATCATGAGAACTAGAGGAACATCTGTGCTCTGCTACTTCCCTGCACATATTTTCCCCAATGATGGCATTTTTACACTTACACCATGTGTTGTTAGTGATGCAGGTTCTGAGTCTAAGCCCACTTAGCACAATACTATTATTATTATGACTAACCTATATTAAGCTAAACAGAAATTATTTGGAAGCATAAATAATTATGATATTAACATTTGTACTATTCCTATCTGTCTTTGGACATAGAAATAATGTAGTCTCAAACTGTTTTTAAGATTGTGCATAATACGGGTTGCTTCGCATTTCTGAAAGCAAGATATCTACCTATGCTGCTGGAACTATAACTGATGGAAGAACAAGTTTCAGACTACCAAAAATATTCTATGAAACTTGGAAAAAATGTGCAAATTTGGCCATTTTAAATGTCACAGGGTATTCAACATGAGGAATATAAAAAGTAAAGAAATTATTTTCGCTCAAGATAATTAAAGAAAATACAATTGCTGCTTTTACTGTTTTCCTCTTTATCGGTTATACTATGTTATGATGGTATTTATGTCTTATAAATCTAAAGAAAATGTACTGCTTTTATTTTATTTATTTAGCTATTTTGGCACAACTTTGGTTTGGAGACTTGCTATATCTCATGAGACACAGAGAATAAAATCATTTGCTGCACATGTTTTCTGGAGAGAAATCAAAAAGTAATATTAGGAAAATCATATATTTTTAACTTTTATATACTTATTACTTTCTATTTTAATGCAATACTTTTTTGATTCTGTAAAGCAAAATAAATATATTATTTTTCTGTCTTTCCAAAGAACAAATTCTTCAAAATATAATAATTTGTTAAACAGGATTCAAAGTAAGAGTGGGGAAACTGTGCAGTATTGACATGAGATTATTGCTAACATTTGCCTGCAGGTTAGCTATTATTCTTAATTTATATTCTTTAATTTATATGGCAAGGATGCGAACTGAAAAAAAATGCTCACTTTCAAATAGTTTTACTATTTTTTAGAACATACCTCTCATTCCCACTCTGGAGCAATCTTTTCAGTGCCCTCTTTGACAGCAGTTTAACCGTATTTGGGCAGGAATAATTTTTGAGGGAGGTGTCCTTTTATTAATTAATTTATTTTTCATAAATAGCTTTCTCAGTCATTTATGAAATACTTTCTATTTACACAAAGAGATTTGGCAATTATAATTCACTCTATTATAAACATCTATGCATGACATCACACAAACTACCAAAGTTTATGCAAGTTTGAGTATACTGACTAGTGATCCCCAAATGTTTTATTACATTCATGCCAGTAAAATAAAATTTTAGCATATATTTACACTATGCATATATGTATTTATTTATAAATCATACATGTTTATCCACTATCATAAAGACATTATGAGACATACATTCTAAAAAGAAAATATAAGCTCTACAAAACAAATATACTTAAAAGAAATTTTTACTTTCTTACTTTATCATTTAAAACATAGCATTAAATATATATAACTTCTTGCTGGTTAGTAGGGTGATGTTTTCTTATAATTACTTCTGAGATTGCATTTGTTTATTGCACAGAGATGTTAGTTTTCACAAGTCATGATGTAACAACAGATTGCTTAAAAAAATAGTACAGGAAAGAAATTCACCTTGGTTGAAGACCCATTAGGTGTCGGTGTTATCATTGTTGCTCTTTCATGTCATTTAATCCTTACAAAATCCTATCAAGATACTGTATTTATTCACAATTTACAGCTTAGAAAAACGTAACTTAGATGTTTCCCCAATACCCTTACATTGGGGTATTGGAAGTGTTATGTTGGGGAATGAATGGGAAGTTAACTTCTAATTAATAATAAAGCCTATTACCTTAATCTTCTCTGTGTTTGGACCTTCATGTGAATGATGCCTTAGCCCCAGTTTTGTGAAAAAATACTCACATATAGGCTGCTGAGGATAAATATTTTCCAAATAACTTTCTACAAATGTCTCTGCATCTGGATGTGTCTCCATGGGGCTACATTTGGATACTTTCCTTTTTGAATATGAGTGGGAGGCATATGACTAACTCATGTTAAGTTGTTAGGATACCTCTGTGTTCATTTATGTGTACTTGGATGACTTTAGCTGTCATTCCTTTCTGGGTGATAAAATGCTGACCCCTTTATTGTATTTTGCAGTCACCCCTAAGCAAAAGAAAGCTGTCTCTGAAGGAGGTGATTAGAATTGATAGGTTCAATGTTATCATTTGTCAGCCTTCTATTTTAGGGGCATAAATAGAGTGATTTAACAGGAACAGATAATAGCTTAAACCAAGTAATAATCACTTAGTGAGAATTAAATTGTACAAACATTTAAAGTAGTCCTGGGTTGGGATGGCAAACAAAGAAAACAGCAAATACTCAATTGATAGTTAATTTTGAATAAAATAATGGATTGTGTGTATTTCTGCATGGAAGAACATAGAAGTTTTTTAGTTAATGCAAGATAAAGGTTAATCTAGAATATCAGTCTTGTACAATTTCCCATCATAGTTTTTATTTCATATTTAAGCTTTTTCTCAAAACAACATGAAGCAAAATCACATTATAATACAAATTAATATTAATGGTTTCAAATATTCCTTATACCTCAAATAATTTATATTTTTGAAAAAGCAAAGATGTAAAACCATGGAATGAGATACCCAGGACACAGTAGACATATTTAGGGTACAGACCTTTTGTTTTTCTCCTTAATTCCACTTTACTCCAGTACTTCTATTAGTATACACATTATTCTTGCCCTCTCTATATTACCTGATAACCAATAATCATTTCCTTTATAATTGCTTCAGCTTTTTCCTAAATTAATTAATTAATTTTACCTTGTAAAATCCAATTTTTTAACTGATGCATAATAGTTATACATATTTATGGAGTATATGTTTTTTTGATACATGCATAGAATATGTAATAGTCGAATATGGGTATTGGTACATCAATCACCTCAAATATTTATTTTTTCTTTGTGTTAGAAACCTTCCATATCTTCTCTTCTAGTTAGGAACCAGGTTTTCCTTTAATTTGCTAGGGCTTTCTCTTACATATTCATTGAAAATTATTCCTCTTATTTGCCTAACTTATATGCAAGAGGCAAAGGGGAAGCTGCTCTTCTTTTTAGTTACTCTCAGACTTTTTTGATGCATCATAGTTTATCAACATCTTATCTTTTGAAAGCAAATTTTATTTTATAACTTAAATTTAGGTTATTGAGTTCATACTTCCTTATAATTCTAAATTACTTTTTGGGCCTGGATGACAGTTCCTATATATGTTAAATACTAATTTTAACATTCTAAAAGAATATGAGAAGAAATAATTGACATATTAAGAAATACAGAATATAAGATTAAAAAGAGCCAATGAAATGAAAGAGAAGTTTTAAAATATTCTCAGCAATAAAAAGATTAATATACAAGCAGGTAAAAAACATCCAATATAAGTACAATCGGAATAGCTGAAGAAAAACAATATAAAGGCAGCAAAACTGTCATCCTAATATTAAAAACACTCTACTTCAAGAATATATACCTAAAATAAAAGAATATATGTGCCAATATATAAAAAGGATATATTGTGTAAGTGAGGAATTCCACCCAGCACATTGCTGACATATAATCTAGCAATACTATCAACTGTTTAAAAGTTAAAATATCATTCATATCTTAAAGCAAAAAAATATATAATTCTCTTGATAGATTCTAAAAAGTGTGTCAATTTAATTTAAAATATATTAATGTTAAGGATACAGAATGACTCCCACAACATGATAGAGCATATAAACAGACCAATATCTATGATCACAAACCAAAATGAAACAAAAAATCTTAAAAAATTCCTGCTAATAGTAGAAATGTTCACTATCACCATGAAAATCAGGAATGAAAAAAAAATTTATCCCATATCATCTCTATCATCCAAGATTTTACTAGAAATCTCAGAAAATAAAAAGAAAGAAAAAAATGCATTGTTGTTATAAAAATAGAAATAAATTTTTTTCACAGATGACTTAACTTCAAATTGCACACTTGAAATCGAAATAAGTCTCATACCATTCAAACGGAATATATCAATGTCATTGGATAAAAATCAATATTCAAAAATTAATTATATTTCTATATAGTAGCCATATAAAATTAATTTTTTAAAGTTACAAAAAAATTGTTTCAATGTAACAAGTGTCTAAATATAAATAAAATGCAACATTTCCAAGAAGACCTCTAAATGAAGGCCCTAAATTATAAAACTTCATTGAAAGTAATTGAAGAACTTGGCTGGGTGTGGTGGCTCACACCTGTTATCCTAGCACTTTGGGAGGCTGAGACGTGCGAATAACGATGCCAGGAGTTCAAGACCAACCTGGCCAACATGATGAAACCTCATCTCTATTAAAAATACAAAAATTACCCAGGCTTGGCAGTCGCCTGTAGTCCCAGCTACTCAGGAGGCTGAGGCAGGAGAATTGCTTGAACCCAGGAGGCAGAGGTTGCAGTGAGCCAAGGCTGGGCCACTACACTCCAGCCTGGGTGACAGTGTGAGACTCCATCTCAAAGGAAAAAGAAGAAGAAGAAGAAGAAAGTAATTGAAGAACTCAATAAATGGAGAGTTACATCATGTTTATTGATTTTAAAGCTCATAATTTTAACATAGTAACTCACCGCACCAAATTTAATCTGGAGATTCAACACAATCACAAAGTGTAGCAGGGATTCTTGGTAAATGATAACTGCTTTTAAAACTTAAAGGAAAAATTAAAAAGCCAAGAATAGCCAAGGCAATTAGAGAAGAACAAAACTTGAGCTCTTTTAAAGCTATCATTTATCAGACTCTGTGAAGTTTTTCAAAGTATATTTAAACTAGAAAATGGAAAATAATAGAGGTTGCAGAAACAGATTCGCATTAAGCTCTCTGCAAAGAAGGGACATGGGGGTTGTTTCCTGTTCTCAAAGTTGGGAAATTTCCCTGTGCAGCTGGGTCTGGGGCCAGTGTACTATGTGCTGATTGGTTTGTGAGTATGCAAAAATGGTTAAAGAGAAGACACCACTCAAAGGTGTGCATAACAGTGTAGAAAACCAATTAGGAAAAGGTAGTTATATGTAAAATAGGTGAAAGGTGGGGCTCAATCAGAGAAAAGTGCACCAAACAGAAAGACAAATTTTCAATACTTTCTGAGGATTTCACTTGTACCTTGGCTTTCAGGCTTTAAACTATCTTCAGCTTGGAGGTGGGGTTTCACCAGGGGACCCTTCCCTATTTGCCTAGGTATTTGGCTGCCTCCTGACACTCCCAATAACTCTTATCCAGAATACATAAAAAACTTACCAAATCAATAAGAAAAATTATATATCACTTTAGAAATACCGGGAAAAGAATGTGAGCAGACATTTTACAAAGAAAATAAGCTAAATGCACTGTAAACATATGAAAACGTTCTCAACCTAAGAAATCATAAGGACAATAACAATTAAAACTGCAGTGTGATATCCACATTAATTGCTAAAATGAAAAAGGCTAGGTACAAATTCTGGCTGACATATATCTGTTTCAACTCTTTTATTACAATTGCCTTTTATATCTTTGGTTACAACATCCCCAAAAAACTTTAAAGAATGATATGCATAGGAAAACGGACAGACTGCCTCCTCAAGTGGGTCCCTGACCCCCGAATAACCTAACTGGGAGGCACCCCCAAGTAGGGTCAGACTGACACCTTGCACGGCCGGGTACCCCTCTGAGATGTAGCTTCCAGAGGAATGATCACGCAGCAACATTTGCTGTTCGGCAATATTCACTGTTCTGCAGCCTCTGCTGCTGATACCCAGGCAAACAGGGTCTGGAGTGGACCTCCAGCAAACTCCAACAGACCTGCAGCTGTGGATCCTGACTGTTAGAAGGAAAACTAAAAAACAGATAGGACATCCACACCAAAAACCCATCTGTACCTCACCATCATCAAAGACCAAACGTAGATAAAACCACAAAGATGGGGAAAAAACAGAGCAGAAGAGCTGAAAACTCTAAAAATCAGAGTGCCTCTCCCCCTGCAAAGGAATGCAGCTCCTTCCCAGCAATGGAACAAAGCTGGATGGAGAATGACTTTGATGAGTTGACAGAAAAAGTTTTCAGACGATCAAACTTCTCCGAGCTAAAGGAGGAAGTTCAAACCCATCGCAAAGAAGGTAAAAACCTTGAAAAAATATTAGACGAATGGCTAACTAGAATAACCAGTGTAGAGAATTCCTTAAATGACCTGATGGAGCTGAAAACTATGGCACGAGAACTACGTGACAAATGCACAAGCTTCAGTAGCCGATTCGATCAAGTGGAAGAAACAGTATCAGTGATTGAAGATCAAATGAATGAAATGAAGCAAGAAGAGAAGTTTAGAGAAAAAAGAGTAAAAAGAAATGAACAAAGTGTCCAAGAAATATGGGACTATGTGAAAAGACCAAATCTACATCTGATTGGTGTACCTGAAAGTGGCAGGGAGAATGGAACCAAGTTGGAAAACACTCTGCTGGATATTATCCAAGAGAACTTCCCCAACCTAGCAAGGTAGGCCAACATTCAAATTCAGGAAATACAGAGAATACCACAAAGATACTCCTCAAGAAGAGCAACTCCAAGACACATAATTGTCAGATTCACCAAAGTTGAAATGAAGGAAGAAATGTTAAGGGTAGCCAGAGAGAAAGGTTGGGTTACCCACAAAGGGAAGCCCATCAGACTAACAGCAGATCTCTCAGCAGAAACTCTACAAGCCAGAAGAGAGTGGGGGCCAATATTCAACATTCTTAAAGAAAAGAATTTTCAACCCAGAATTTCATATCCAGCCAAACTGAGCTTCATACATGAAGGAGAAATAAAATCCTTTACAGACAAGCAAACGCTGAGAGATTTTGTCACCACCAGGCCTGCCCTACAAGAGCTCCTGAAGGAAACACTAAACATGGAAAGGAACAACTGGTACCAGCCACTGCAAAAACAGGCCAAATTGTAAAGACCATTGATGCTAGGAAGAAACTGCATCAACTAATGAGCAAAATAACCAGCTAACATCATAATGACAGAATCAAATTAACACATAATGATATTAACCTTAAATGTAAATGGGCTAAATCCTCCAATTAAAAGACACAGACTGGCAAATTGGATAAAGAGTCAAGACCCACCAGTGTGCTGTATTCAGGAGACCCATCTCACATGCAAAGACATACATAGGTTCAAAATAAAGGGATGGAGGAAGATCTACCAAGAAAATGGAAAGCAAACAAAGGCAGGGGTTGCAATCCTAGTCTCTGACAAAACAGACTTTAAACCAACCAAGATCAAAAGAGACAAAGAAGGCCATTACATAATGGTAAAGGGATCAATTCAACAAGAAGAGCTAACTATCCTAAATATATATGCACCCAATACAGGAGCATCCAGATTCACAAAGCAAGTCCTTAGAGACCTGCAAAGAGACTTAGACTCCCACACAACAATAATGGGACACTTTAACACCCCACTGTCAACATTAGACAGAACAACAAGACAGAAAATTAACAAGGATATCCAGGAATTGAACTCAGCTCTGCACCAAGCGGACCTAATAGACATCTACAGAGCTCTCCACCCCAAATCAACAGAATATACATTCTTCTCAGCACCACATCACACTTATTCCAAAATTGACCACATAGTTGAAAATAAAGCACTCCTCAGCAAATTTAAAAGAACAGAAATTATAATAAACTGTATCTCAGACCACAGTGCAATCAAACTAGAACTCAGGATTAAGAAACTCACTCACAACCGCTCAACGACATGGAAACTGAACAATCTGCTCCTCAATGACTACTGGGTACATAATGAAATGAAGGCAGAAATAAAGATGTTCTTTGAAATCAATGAGAACAAAGACACAACATACCAGAATCTCTGGGACACATTCAAAGCAGTGTGTAGAGGGAAATTTATAGCACTAAATGCCCACAAGAGAAAGAAGGAAAGATCTAAAATTGACACCCTAACATCACAACTAAAAGAACTAGAGAAGCAAGAGCAAACACATTCAAAAGCTAGCCGAAGGCAAGAAATACTAAGATCAGAGCAGAACTGAAGGAGATAGAGACACAAAATACCCTTCAAAAAAGCAATGAATCCAGGCGCTGGTTTTTTTTTGAAAAGATCAACAAAATTGATAGACTGCTAGCAAGACTAATAAAGACGAAAAGAGAAAAGAATCAAATAGACGCAATAAAAAATGATAAAGGGGATATCACCGCCGATCCCACAGAAATACCAACTACCATCAGAGAATACTATAAACACAACTACACAAATAAACTAGAAAATCTAGAAGAAATGGATAAATTCTTCGACACATACATCCTCCCAAGGCTAAACCAGGAAGAAGTTGAATCCCTGAATAGACCAATAACAGGCTCTGAAATTGAGGCAATAATTAATAGCCTACCAACCAAAAAAAGTCCAGGACCAGACAGATTCACAGCTGAATTCGACCAGAGGTATAAGGAAGAGCTAGTACCATTCCTTCTGAAACTATTCCAATCAATAGAAAAAGAGGAAATCCTCCCTAACTCATTTTATGAGACCAGCATCCTGATACCAAAGCCTGGCGGAGACACACCAAAAAAAGAGAATTTTAGACAAATATCCCTGATGAACATTGATGCAAAAATCCTCAATAAAATACTGGCAAACCGAATCCAGAAGCACATCAAAAAGCTTATCCACCATGATCAAGTAGGCTTCATCCCTGGGATGCAAGGCTGGTTCAACATACGCAAATCAATAAATGTAATCCAGCATATAATCAGAATCAAATACAAAAACCACATGGTTATCACAATAGATGCTGAAAAGGCCTTTCACAAAATTCAACAGCCCTTCATGCTAAAAACTCTCAATAATTTAGGTACTGATGTGACGTATCTCAAAATAATAGGAGCTATTTATGACAAATGCGCAGTCAATATCATACTGAATGGGCAAAAACTGGATGCATTCCATTTGAAAACTGGCACAAGACAGGGATGCCCTCTCTCACCACTCCTATTCAACATAGTGTTAGAAGTTCTGGCCAGAGCAATCAGGCAGGAGAAAGAAATAAAGGGCGTTCAATTAGGAAAAGAGGAAGTCAAATTGTCCCTGTTTGCAGATGACATGATTGTATATTTAGAAAACCCCATCGTCTCAGCCGAAAATCTCCTTAAGCTGATAAGCAACTTCAGCAAAGTCTCAGGAAACAAAATCAATGTGCAAAAATCACAAGCATTGTTATACACCAATAACAGACAAACAGAGAGCCAAATCATGAGTGAACTCCCATAAACAATTGCTTCAAAGAGAATAAAATACCTAGGAATCCAACTCACAAGGGATGTGAAGGACCTCTTCAAGGAGAATTACAGTCCACTGCTCAACGAAATAAAAGAAGACACAAAAAAATGGAAGAACATTCCATGCTCATGGACAGGAAGAATCGATATTGTGAAAATGGCCATACTGCCCAAGGTAGTTTATAGATTCAATGCCATCCCCATCAAGCTACCAATGACTTTCTTCACAGAATTGGAAAAAAACTACTTTAAAGTTCATATGGAACCAAAAAAGAGCCCACATTGCCAAGACAATCCTAAGCCAAAAGAACAAAGCTGGAGGCATCGTGCTACCTGACTTCAAACTATACTACAAGGCTACAGTAACCAAAACAGCATGGTACTGGTACCAAAACAGATATATAGACCAATGGAACAGAACAGAGCCCTCAGAAATAATGCCACATATCTACAACCATCTGATCTTTGACAAACCTGACAAAAACAAGCAATGGGGAAAGGATTCCCTATTTAATAAATGGTGCTGGGAAAACTGGCTAGCTGTATGTAGAAAGCTGAAAATGGATCCCTTCCTTACACCTTATACAAAAATCAATTCAAGATGGATCAAAGACTTAAATGTTAGGCCTAAAACCTAAAAACCCTAGAAGAAAACCTAGGCAATACCATTCAGGACATAGGCATGGGCAAGGACTTCATGTCTAAAACACCAAAAGCAATGGCAACAAAAGCCAAAGTTGACAAATGGGATCTAAGTAAACTAAAGAGCTTCTGCACAGCAAAAGAAACTACCATCAGAGTGAACAGGCAACCTACAGAATGGGAGAAAATTTTTGCAATCTACTCATCTGACAAAGGGCTGACATCCAGAATGTACAAAGAACTCAAACAAATTTACAAGAAAAAAAACAAACAACTCCATCAAAAATGGGCAAAGGATATGAGCAGACACTTCTCAAAAGAAGACATTTATGCAGCCAACAGGCACATGAAAAAATGCTCACCATCACTGGCCATCAGAGAAATGCAAATCAAAACCACAATGAGATACCATCTCACACCAGTTAGAATGGTGATCATTAAAAAGTCTGGGAACAACAGGTGCTGGAGAGGATGTGGAGAAATAGGAACACTTTTACACCATTGGTGGGAATGTAAACTAGTTCAACCATTGTGGAAGACAGTGTGGCAATTCCTCAAGGATCTAGAAGTAGAAATACCATTTGACCCAGCCATCCCATTACTGGGTATATACCCAAAGGACTATAAATCATGCTGCTATAAAGACAGATGCACACGTATATTTATTGTGGCACTATTCACAATAGCAAAGACTTGGAACCAATCCAAATGTCCAACAATGATAGACTGGGTTAAGAAAATGTGGCAAATATACACCATGGAATACTATGCAGCCATAAAAAAGGATGAGTTCATGTCCTTTGTAGAGACATGGATGAAGCTAGAAACCACCATTCTCAGCAAATTATCACAAGTACAAAAAACCAAACACTGCATGTTCTCACTCATAGCAGGGAATTGAACAGTGAGAACACTTGGATACAGGGTGGGGAACATCACACACCAGGGCATGTCGTGTGGTGGGGGACGGGAGGAGGGATAGCATTAGGAGATATACCTAATGTAAATGACAAGTTCACGGGTGCAGCACACCAACATGGCACATGTATATATATGTAACAAACCTGCATGTTGTGCACATGTACCCTAGAACTTAAAGTATAATAATAAAAAATAAATAAATAAAAAATAAAAAAAGAATGGTATGCATAAGCCTACTATATTTTGTTAGTTATTTTTTAGATCATGAGGTCTTTCATAAACACGCATAACATGTTAATAGCAGACACAACTATAATTGATTTAGGCATGTATAGTCAATAGAAAAATCATTTGTGAAAAAATGCTATAAAGCAAGATATTTCCACATTGCCAAAATATTACTCCAGATATTTGTTAACTACAAAAGAAAATCGCATTGCTATGGCAGGATCTTCTCATTACCATCTCAAAAAGTGATCATCACTATCAATAGTACAAACTGACAATATGGAATTGCTGATGTGATGGAATATAAAATATAAAACATACCTCATAGAATTTTAATACCAAAAACTATTAACCTTAATCTAATTATGTCTTTAGACATAATTTTTTGATTATGTAGTGAACAACCAGATGAGAAAAACAATTCGAATTAAATTACAAAGATTGTATAAAGTAAATTGTTTAGAAAGTTAGAGTCATAAAGAAGTGGGATTGTCCTAGATTCAAAGAGACCTAATAGTCATAAGAAATAAATGCAGTGCATCAAGTATGTTAGGATTCTGTTTAAAAAGCACAGCCAAAAAATAATACCTTGGGGTTATTAAAAAGAAAGTTCTTATTTTTAGGAGATGCCTGCTGAATTAGGGGTGAATTGCCCTGATGTCTACCATGTACTGTTAATTGGTTTTATATATAGATACCAGTATATTGATATATATATAGATATTAATATATATAGCCATAAATACAGATATAAATATGGTTAGGAAAATAAAATATAAAAAATGTTAATAGTCTTGAATTTAGGTAGCATGTGTATAATTTAATACTATCAGTTGCTCAATCTATATTTGAAAATTTGTATATTAAAATTATTTAAAAATAAAATAATCAGCCATTTGAATTTGGAGAGAAATGCTGCTGTATTGAGTCTTCTTTAAATATTTTAATCAGGAAACCTCAATTACCTTGTTGCCTGTTCTGTTGCAAAAATTTCTAACTTGAGATGATTTTAAACTTTCCGTAATAACTAATTTTGAACTATTTATCTTTCCTTATATATGACACATATGGTTTTATTCTCATGGTTTTTTATACAATTTTATTGAACAAACAAATCAAATCTTTGTAATATCCTCAGTTAATACACACTCTTTCTTTTTTGGCCTTTTAAGTCTTTTTATTTTTACTTCCTTGTTGTATGTCCTGTATTGAATATCGTTCTTAAAAATAGTTTGCTTATTCATATTTTTGTTTGTTATGTAATGTGAAGTTCTTACAGATCAGAATTGCATTTTTTCTCACTCTGTCCTATGTGTATAAGATACTATGTACGTATTTTAGATAAATCAATACCAAACTCTGGTAATATTAAAGTGAAATAAATTACTTGCTTCTACTCCTAACAGGCTCTAAAGCTGCTCAGAATATTACCAGCATTGTAATATCTTTTACATGAATTTCACAATTCTGATCACTTCCCTTACAGATGTTCCCAAATAAGAAAAAGCTATATGCAGAAAACATGTTTTACTGTAGTTTTCTTTCTAATCATAAAAATTTTAAATTTTTCAAATAATTAACCTTAAGAGAATGTTAAGAAAAGTGTAATTCATTGAATAATATTTTCTGTCCAATAAGTCTAAATACCAGTAAAAACCATAATATCATGAAAATATTTATGGATACAGTGTTAACATAGCAATACATAAAATTGAGTTTATGCTATTGTAGCAAGAGGTACAAGCTTGAGTTTAACTAGTCAACTTCAAGCAATAATTGTTTTGTCACGTTTACAGGAGTATGCAGTTGATGATTAGTCATTCTTAGTAACCATTTGTGTGAGATTTGTATGAGATAATCCATGTGGTTTTGGAAGGAATATACATATATGTATATATAATTATATATATAAATAACTGTATATATAAAACTATATATATAGCTACTCACCAAATGCACTTATTTTCACAAAAAAGTTATTTTTAATTAAAAAGGTAATTAATAATATATCCATCCCTAATAATGTCTGGGTTCAAATCATTGCTTCTTCAAATAGCCTTATGATCTTGGACAAGTATGTTTCTGAATAACCATAGACTCAACTTTGCCTTATAATATAGAGGTAATAATAATTTTTGACCTTGTAGGTTCCTATTACAAAATAAACAATAAATAATTTAATAATTTCTATTATTATTGGTTAATATCCAATTCGGACTCCTAGATGTGTGGCTGTTTAAAACAAATGTGACATTGCAGGCACATGAGGAAACATTGAAATACATGTAAAGCAACATGTCATAAACTACAGAAGAGATGCACTACATAATTTGTAGCAAAACACAAAGTTTCCGAATCAAATGCTCCAATGTATCAGTAGCATTATGTATCATTTAGATTTTAAGCACAAACTTAGTCTGGTTCAATATTACTTTGGTTAGTATTAGAAGAGTATAGCAACAACAGTCATAAAGACAGGATCAGTGGCAAAGGAAAAACAGCTATTGATACTGAGTCAAGAGATCTCATGAGTTTTCAGTGTTTGCTATGATACAAGAAAAGGGTAAGAGTTTCAAGATAATTGAACAGACTATGGATATCTATGATATGTATGGTACACTTGTGTATTTCTAGAATTCGTTAGTTAAAACATAAAGAGAATGCAAATTTTTCACATCATAGTTAGGATTATTGCCAGCAATATATAATTTGTCACTATTAATGTAATCTCATTTTTACTTCTCTGGATATTTTGGCCTAAGAATCATAGATTACATCTGATAAAAATTATAAAAAAACATTCAATTTGTGACTCAACAAGGATAAAACTTACCCAGTCCTCATGGTGTAGAAAATGCCATCTATTCTGGGCATATGAATCATGAATAGAATTACAGGTAGAGGACAATGAGCTTCTGATATTGTTCTAGTTGTAATAGTTTTAGGAGTAGAAAATGTGGAATCAAAATATTATCCTACGTGTGAAAATTTTTATCTGCAAATAACACCAAATGGAGTCTAAATTCAAAATGTGAAGACCAGAATCTGAAAAACACACAAAATAATGGAAATATTGAAAAGACAAGGTAAAATTCTATTTTCATCAGATATAGTGTATTAGTCATCTTGGGCTGCAATAACAAAATACCAGTCTGTGGTACCAGATGGAAGTAGTATTTCTACTACGTAGACAACAGCCATGTATTTCTCATAGATCGAGAAGCTGTGAAATGCAAGACAAAGGTGCCAGCAAAGTAAGTTTTATTACGAAGCCTCTTCTCTTGGCTTATGGGTGGTTGCCATTTTGTTGTGTACTCACACAACCTCTCCTTTAAGTGCAAACAGAGAGACAAAAATAGCTCTCTAGTGTCTCTTCTTATAAGAACACTTAATCTATTGAATCATGCCCCACCCTTATGGCCTTTATATGGTTTGGATCTGTGTCCCCACCCAAATCTCATGTTGAATTGTAATCCCCAGTGTTGGAGGTGGGCCTGGTAGGAAGCGATTAGATCATGGGGGTAAATTTTGCCTTTTGGGCTGTTCTCGGGCAGAGTTCTCAGGAGATCTGGTTGTTTAAAAATGTGTAGTACTTTCCCCGTCTCTGTCTTCCTCCTGTTCCAGCCATGTAAGAAATGCCTGCTTCCCCTTTGCCTTCTGCCTCAGTTGTAAGTTCCCTGAGGCCTCCCCAGCTATGCTTCCTGTACAGCCTGTGAAACTGTGAGCCAATTTAACCTCTTTTCTTTATAAATTACTAAGTCCCAGGCATTTCTTTATAGCAGTGTGAAAATGGACTAATATAGGCCTCATTTAACCCTTATTACTTTCTTACTCCAAACAGTCACACTTGAATGTTAGGGTTTTAACATAATAAATTTTGTGTGGATATAAACATTTAGTCCATAACATGTAACAATACAGCTGACCCTAGAACAACAAGGGTTAGAACTGCCTGGGTCCACTTATAGTAGATTTTCTTCTGCCTCTGCCACCCACAAGACACCAAGACTGACTCCTCTTCTTCCTCCTCCTCCTTAGCCTACTCAACATGAAGACAATGAGAATGAACACCTTTATGATGATCTACTTCCACTTATTAAATAGCAAATATGTTTTCTCTTCTCTATAATTTTCTTAACATTTTTTCTAGCTTACTTTAT
The DNA here is from genome assembly GCF_000001405.40 of Homo sapiens. Taxonomy (NCBI): domain Eukaryota; kingdom Metazoa; phylum Chordata; class Mammalia; order Primates; family Hominidae; genus Homo; species Homo sapiens. Next base: position 194,064,262 of record NC_000002.12, on the reverse strand, counting down.
TGTAATAATGTAGTATATGATACATATAACATTCACAATATGTGTTCATTGACTATGTTATTTGTAAGACCTCTGGTCAACAGCAGTCTATTAGCAGTTAAGTTTTGGGAGACTAAAATGTTATACATGGATTTTCGACTGTGTGAGGGTCAATGCCCCTAATTCCTGCATGTTTGAGAGTCAGCTGTACTTTATAACATCATTCCACAAGAAAATGTCCTTAATCTACCTTATTATGACATTTAACTCCAATAAAATATTTTAGTCTGGTGAAACACCTCTGTAATTTTACAATGAATGTCAACAGAAATATCATATTAAAATCATGGGTATTTGATTTGCAACCAAATATAACTAGCTAATTAAAGTAAGCTCAACCTTTAGGTTAGTGTTTCAACATTTATTATTTCAGCTAATAGTAAATGTAGTCAAAATATTTTTTGAAAAAAAATTGCATTCTACTCATTTTGTCTATTCTGTTTTCAGAAACTCAATTTTATAAACTTTACCCTGCAATAATAACCACTTACCTAATTGAGCATACAGCAGCAGAAATGGTGAAAGCCATACATTTAAAAATAGCAATATAATGTATAGAATTGTAACAGCTTAATTTGTTAGTGTAGTGCAGAATGAAATTCCACAGAAAGCAAATAATATACTAGAGTTGGCTTTCAGATGCTGAATCAGAGATAAATGTGTCCTTATGTTTGTCCATTAGATATTGTACAATAGTTTTATCAGCTGAGAAGTTGAATTTCATGACGGTCGTTGAATAAACTGTGGAATCTTTCAGGCAAGATCTTTAGGGATGGATATATTTCCCATTCTTTACTTGTTTCAAAGCAAAATGACAAATCTCAGCAGTATGGTTGATACACAGTGAAAAGCAAATAGCTGTTGGGATCTGTTTATTTTCAGAATGAGTACATGAAGGATTTGCACTTAAGCTATAGTATGTCATTCATAATGTGTTTTAAAAATACATGTTAAATTGCTAGAAATATGATATTTGATGTTGAAAATATTTACTTCTAAGTGATGCAATTTATTGTATATGTTTAAATATTTCTTCCAAGAAAATAGAGAAGAAAGGCAGTAGGATCATTGGCAGTGAAATAAAACAGACTTGACTAGGATTATTGTAGAACATATTCACTCAATCTCTAATAAATATATATGTATATTCTAGTTATAAATATATGGGTGATGAGATAGATAGATATATTTTATATATAAACAGATATATTTTAGGATTATATATTCTATTATATTCTGATTCTATATTTCATTTACTGTATATAGTCTAATATAAGGGAGATAAAGGAAAAGATTTCACAGTTGTTCTAGTAAAAAATTAAAAGACTTAATGTCTATACTTTGCTTATTCATAATTCTGATAGGTAGTAAATGATCAGCATTTGGCAGGTACTACTGGAATTTTTTCTCATAAATGATTTATTTTTATAACAAAGTATGCATTTAGTATGCTTTAAATCTAAACAATCACTGCTGCTTATTTTCTTAGAGACTTGGAGAAAAAAAAGGAGAAGTAAAGGGAAGGTGTGAAATGATTGGGCTCATTCTGCACTTGACAATCAGTATGTAAGAGTAGGAAGCTCTGTTCTGCTTTAAGGCGGATGGAGTTCCATGCTGCATCTACAGTTACAAGGGCTACTCCGTAGAGATTCCTTAGCCAGAATCGCTGCTTGTGTCAACTCTATTTTTACCCACCAATCAACTATTTTCAAAGTGAGAAGTGAATTAAATATAACCTCATTACTAAGCAGTCTTCACATCATGGTATAATTTACTTCAGGCAGCACACTGCTTTTGTATCTATGTCATACCTAGAGATGTCTACCCACACCTTTCATCTTCCCCTCTCTTCTTTGCAATAGAAATAAAGAACATTGATTTCAAAGACTTACACTCTGCATATTCACTATTTCTTTCTATGGCCCCGTTCAGAGACAGTTATAATGTAAGTCTAATAAACAACCCTTCAATCTATCTTACATGCACACAGGTAAATTTGTAAAAGTACAAATGTGTTAAAGAAAGTTTGGGAAACTCCATGGAAAGCCATAAACAATCTTGCAACTGTGTCAAATGTAAAAAAAATGCAATTGTTTACTATTAAAATCTGTTTTGCTCTTTTTCTTTCCTTTCCTTTTTAGAACTTAAAAGTAGACCTCAAAACAAATATTAATGTATTTCTACAGAAAGGAGAAATAATATCTTGATTGTTTATTAACATGTACCTAATAAAGTTACAAAATTATTTATAATGTACCATATGCCTAATTTTAAAAACAGCACTAATCCATAATTTTCATTATACAAAACTTAAAACATTGAGATAGTAATAGAACATTAATATAATGCCTGGTGTTTTAGGATAGACAAAATTGTCAACTTATCTTTGGTTTATGAATAATTGTTTGGTTGATTCTTTTAAATTTCTAATCCACTATGATGTAATGTTTTATAAAATGTAGTATAAATTATTAGTAAAATTGAACTGAAAATGATAAAAGGGAAATTCAATTTTAGTTACCAGATACAACATCTATAAAAGCATATATATATAAGAAAAGGCTGGGCATGGTGGCTCATGCCTGTAATCCCAACACTTTGGGAGGCTGAGGTGGGTGGATTGCTTGAGACCAGGAGTTCGAGACCAGCCTGGGCAACATGGCAAAACACTCTCTAATAAAAATACAAAAATTAGCTGGACATGGTGGCACATGTCTGTAATCCCAGATTCTTGGAAGGCCGAGGCATGAGAATTGTGTAAACCCAAAAGGCAGAGGTTGCAGTGAGATGAGATTGCTCCACTGCACTTCACCCAGGGCAATATTACATGACTCTGTCTCAAAAAAGAAACAAACAAACAAACAAAAACAAAACAAAGAGCATATACATATAAGATAATACAGCTTATATGACTATAGAGCTAATACAGGAAAGAATAAAATAAATACAAACTCTCCACATTATTCATAGCATACATATTAAAGTATTATTAATACACTCATGAATCATCATGCTGCAATTTTACCTAAACAAAAAGTTATGATGGACTAGCAATTCATTCTTCCTTTTAAGCCCCTACATGCACACTTAAAACAACATTGAGAATATCTGAACTTAAAGTTTTCATTGTAAGAACTGAGCTTGCTGCTTCTTTGTTAACTATCCAAGTTGGATTGATGACATTAATCATAGAAAATAATGTGTGTCTCTGTTGTTTATATGTATTCAAATAATATTAATGGTTGAGATTTATAAGCAATGTTAGCAAGCTCTTATTATCCATTTTTATCTTGTTTCCTAAAATGAAGCATGACATACTGAATTTTTAAAATGCATTTTCAATCTTTTATTGGTAAAGTGTTCTAATAAAATATTCTGTAAAGTTATAGTTAAACTTACCTTTAAAAGAGATAAATAATTGTAAGATCCATTAAGCTCCTATGTATTGATTTTATTTTAAGGCAAAATGAAACTTAATACATTTTAAGGGATTCAGTGATAAACTTTTCTAGATATGCAAGATCATCTACTGAGAGAGAGCAAGTTAGGGGCTGGCTAGGCAAATAGAGAGGGAAGGTCTTGGGAGAAGGACATAGAAGGGCAATGTTCACAGGAACAACCACAGGACAGCACCCTCACCACCTCTGCATTTAATGGGAAGAAATGTGGTTAAGAACTTCCCCTTGTGCCAGGATGTTGCTCAGAAGAAACTGTCCCAACTTAGTTGCAGGTGCAATAAATCAACCTAAAGTCCTTAACTTAACCCAGCTCATTATAATGTTGTTAACGTGACATTAGCATTGTGGTTTGAGCCCCCACACCTGTGGGTTTTGCTTAGGCACTCATGGGTAATAACCAAGATGGAGTCACTCTGCCTGACTCCCGGCATGCATAGATGCAACACCCCTACGAGGGAACTTTACCCTTCCCTTTTGGACAAATCCCACAGAAGACTTCCTGGCTTCTGCCACTTAAAAGACTGAGAACTCAGCTTCTGGCAAACTGCTTTCAGGCTCCTTCTCTTTGCTGAGAGCTTTCCTTTTGCTTAATAAATCCTACTATACTCACTCTCTGGTGTCCATGTGCTTTATTCTTCTTGATCATGGGACAAGCACTCAGACCCAGCTGAACTAGGGACTAAGAGATGGCAACCACTACTGCATTAATAATTTTTGTTAAATTATAAAAAATAATGTTCTGTAGAAACTCTGTTCTTACAAAATATTTTAATATACAAGTGTATAAAAAAATATAAGCAAAAGTATATGTTGTTATAAAAGCAGAGCAAACTATATGACTCTTCTTTCCTAAAACAGAAAATATTGAAGGTGCTCAAAGAAAAACTCATCGAATTACTTAAATTTTGAGGAATATGTACATGTCTTTAAGAAAGGTATTGTGAAATCTATGGATACCAGAGATAGGATAAATAGGTCCAGTAATTGTTAACATGTAAGGATTCTCTCTATATATAGTGATAAAATATGTATGTTCAGTTTTTCTAAAAGGGAAGCTCTTTCCCTTTGGATTTATATTTTAATTGTGTCTAAATAACAGTGTATTGTGAACAGTCTGTTAGACTCTTAACTACAGTACAGCAACATGAACAAGTGTTGTGGTAATTAATACCAAATTAGCACAAGTAGTTAATTTTATTAAACTGTTGAGTATTTGTTTATCTTAAATATTTACACTTTTCAGAAACTTGTCTGTTTAGTTACTTTAGCAAATAATGCCAATATAGTTAAAATCACTCTCTAATAAATGCATTAATGTGTACCCTTTTGAGTTTAATGTCACCGATTATGCCTTTGGTAAAGTAAACCACTAGACATTTAGCTAAAAGACACATTATGCCATAATATGTATAATGTGATCAGGTGACACAATATATGGCTATTTTTGTTGGGTTAACAAACCTGAAAGCTTTTTACTACTAAATGGTGAAGAAAATATAAAAAAGTAGTTAACGTGTTTTTATACAAAGGTTTGCAACTAAATGGCAAGGTATTTAGGGTTACAGAATATTTATTGTTCTCTCATACACTTCAATAATGTTATTTATACATAAAAATATCCTCATAGAACACTAAATGAGTAAACACAAGGAAAATGCTAAGAAGTAAGGATAAAGAGTTGCTACTGTGATTAACATTTATAAATACCAACTTAAGTCCAATAACCAAAAATTCTAGTCTTTGTAAAAAATATTATAATTAAGTTAACTAACATACAGATCTAATATTTTTGGCCATTATGTAAAGATCAATTCTTTTTAAATAAATAGGAAAATATAATAAATGAGTTACGACAATCCCTCACACATTTTCATGATAGTCTAATAATGCAAGATGTGACATGTTTATTTACATTTTTAAAACTAAGTAAGAACAACTGAATTGTCAGTTGGTGGCACTCTGAGTTACTGTGTTTCTGGATTTTTATATCACTCAACAAGTAGAAGTACATAATATTAGTGAGTATTAAAAGATATAAAATGTCTTGGTCAAAGAATAATCCCATCTAACTTGTATACCAAAAACTCAACTCTTCTATTCATTGAGAAATGTATATATAAAAAATAAAGATAATTTTAGAGCAGAGGGCTAACAGTAACAGAGATTATTAAATATCTTTATTGTATATTTATTCTAGATCTGTAAATTTTTAGAATTGAGCTTTGTAAAATTTAATAATTGGTACATTCATATTCAGTGATCAGAAATGAGACAGTTGTTCCTTGTGCAATTGGCCCAAAAGTAATATTTTGCCAAACTAATATAATAGTTAATCAGGATAACGACATTGATACTATCCACTGTTCTCTTTCTGATCCCTCCAGTTTTATTTAGGCCCTCTTTGATGTCTTTCAGCTGCATTTTGTAATTTTCAGCATATGAAGTCTACACATTTTATAGATGTCTATTGAAGTATTTTGTAATCATGAGTCCTTATAAGACAGAAACAAAGGGAGATTTTATACACAAAGAAGAAAAAGTGATGTGAAGATCAAAGAACTATAATAATGTTGCCACAAGCCAAAGAATTCTAGCAGCCACCAAAAGCTGTAAGAGTTGAGGAATAGATTTTTCCCTTAATTATTTGTCAAGACTCAACCCTGATGAAACCTGGATTTTATTTCCATAAGGTAAAAAGCTGTAAAAGAATAAATACAAATTGCTTCAAGCCATTTTTTATGGCAATTGATTACAGCAGCAGTGGGAAATTAATACATGTTTCCTCCTCTTCTATTTTCTGGAAGAGATTAGGCAAAACTCATGTTAATTCTTTAAATATTTGATAGATTTCGTTAGTTAAATCATCTGCAACTGAAATTTTTCATTTTGAGAGTTTTAAAATTTTTAAATTACCTTCATATGTTTCAACTTGGTTGAGTTGTGGTTGCTTGTGGATTTTGAGGAATTGATTCATTTCATCTAAATTGTTTACCTTGTGAGTGTAAGGTTGAATGTAGCTCATTCTCTTTTTAATGGCTTCCGGATTTGTGGTAATATATCCCATTTCACTCCTGATTTTGGTGATTTCTCTTTTTACTAGTGTTGGTTTTTCCAGAAGTTTTTCAGTTTTATTGATATTTTCAAAGAATTGTCTTTTGTTTTATTGATTTTTATCTAATTTCTTAATTTCAATATACTTGTTTTCTGCTAATATCTTTATAACTTCCTTCCTTCTGATTGTGTTGGGTTTATTTTGGTCTTTGATTTTTCTAGCTTGTTGAGATAGGTTACCTTACCATTTTGAAATAAACTTTTACTTGATATTCTATTTAGATTTTGTTGTTAATTCAGTACAATTAAGAAAACAATGTTATAATGAAAAAATAAAATGGTCGATTGAATGAAACTCACTACAGCTAAGCTTTTGTGACTACAGTGCTACATTAATAGTGGTCTAGAGTTGTGAATGTAGAAACTATTATGTGTAAGTATTTAGATGGTTTACTGAAGCAATTATTAGACCATTTTGTCCATAAAATGTGTCATTTATATTACATATAGATTTGACTCAATTGTTGACAAATTCAATGTGAGATATGAATATAAACTATTTTTATAAAACAAAAGGTATATTTAAAGTAGCTAAAATTATTTTATTTTAAAACATTAGGGTAAGTATTATCATCCTAGGCTCAGTGATGAAATAGTACCGGAACTCATTACTGAGGATATAGATGGCATTGGTCAGAGCCATTGATAAAGACTTAAGAATAGGTAAAATAAAATAAATTTAGGGGCTATGTTTTAAGAGTAGCCATGAAAGGAAGCTCAGCTTTAATTGAGAATAGATAATGATCTAATATTGTAGGCAGAAATGAAATTCAAGAATTGGGTATGAGTTCTGCAGGAGAGATATATACATGGAATCTGAAAGCACAAAATTGCTTCCACCCTCTACTCAAATTACAGGCAATTAATGAATTAACTCAAAGAGTAGGATTCTTTAAAGTCTTTCACAAGACATCATGAGAAATTTTGAAACCAGAGCTTAGAGTCAATCAAGGAATTATAATGAATTCAAGGCAGTCTAGATTGGAGCTCAAATATGAATGATATCATTGTTTGACAGATAGATTGGTAAACTTTTAAAATGAGGAAATGAATGGATAACATTGAGAAAAATAGAATCAAGTTATCTATGAAAACATAGTAATGTGCTTAAATCAGCATCAACCTGCTGATGACATTTAAATCCATACATTTATATATACATTTAATAAAATGTATATAGAATAGTCATAGACACTAAATCCAAATTTATTTGACTATTTTACATTTTCATTTGAACAAAAGTAGACCTTTTAAACTCAACCTGTCCCAAACAAAACTGAACTTACGGTTAGTCTGAAAAAAAATTCTGCCCCACATATAACTTTTCCAATTTCAATTGTTTCAAGTTTTAGTCTTCTAGCTTCTCAGGCCAAAAATCTTTGCAGTTCAGTCTTATTTCCTATAACAAATGCTTTCTGGTGTCTTTTGTCTCATGTCACATTTCCTCTACCCACCTGTGAATTCAGTTACAGCAGCTAGGGAGAGTTCTACTCAATTTCTAACTCATCTTATGATGGTAGGTCCAACCTAAAGTTGCCATAAGCCAGCTTTTTATTTCTGCTTATACAATTGGAATCATATTTTCAGTTTTGTAAACTTCTTTACTCATTTAATATAAATATTTCAACTTTATCATGTGCATTAACATTTTATTTCACTTTCACATTATACCAGAAATAGAAATATGCATTAAATTTATAATTAACTTTTTTTTTTTTTTTGAGAAGGAGTCTTGCTCTGTCACCCAGGTTGGAGTGCAGTGGCACGATCTCGGATCACTGCAACCTCTGCCTCCCAGGTTCAAGGGATTCTCCTACCTCAGCCTCCTGAGTAGCTGGGACTACAGGCACATGCCACCATGCCCGGCTCATTTTTGTATTTTTAGTAGAGACGGGGTTTCACCTTATTGGCCAGGCTGGTCTCGAACTCTTGACCTCAAGTGATCCGCCCGCCTCAGACTCCCAAAGGGCTGGGATTACAGGCGTGAGCCACTGCGCCTGACCTAGAATTAACTCTTTACTTCACTTCTATTTGTAATTCTGGTATCTGCCAAGATCTAAAATATTTTTATATTAGTCAGATACATTCCAAATGACTGATATGCAGACTATGGAGAAATATAATGGTGAAAAGTGATATAAAGGGAAGTAAAATTTTAAAACATTAAGTAGGATCAATACAGATTTTCAAGCCAAATACAATTGGGTTTAAAAGTTTTCTGGACTGCTTTCCTAAATCACTTTCATCCAAATGAGGGGCTGAGAATCATGCAGATTTTTAGGGTTTCTTATTTTCTGCTCTCTTTTTTTATACCTTATTTTTAATCTGCATTATCTTCTGTTTCTTCCTCTTCTATCTAGTTTTGTACTTCTCTCTTGCTTTTTCTCATTTTATTCTCTTCTGATTTCCCATCATTATATGTATTTTTCTGCCTGACCCCTCTGTCATTAAGATCAAAATGTGGAGTTGCAGCTAACAACAACAACAAAAGGTGGGAAAGTTTTTTAAATGCTGTATGTAATATAAATCATTCAAAAACAGTCAACTTCAGGTTCTGTATGTGTGTCCGTGTGTGTGCGTGTGCACACACATGTCTGTTATATGCTGTTGTATGACATGATGTCAGGTATCAAAAGCATTGTATAGAACTTGGAGACATAGACTGAAGGCATTTGAGGACCGTTACAGAGAATTTATGTGCTACTCATAGTAGGACGAATTTTATACTTTACTATTATTTTATTTTGTTATGTGATTTGTAAAATTAATTTTCGTTCTACTAAAAATTCACAAGCCTTCATGTAAACATTTTCATAAAACCATGTAATTTTTGTACATATCAGTCTTTTTGAGTCTGGACAAAAGTCACAAGACAGACTAATAACCTTTATTTTTATTGTACTATTTTTTTTAAAGACCCTGCCCTATGCCAGTATTAAAAATACAGACCTACAGCAACAAGACTGATTCTACAAGTCCAGAAAGACAATTAAGCTTAATGTTTTTTCTTGTTGTCAGTGACAAAACTCCAAGGAAACATTAATTTGGAAGTCTGAACATTCTCTAGTGACTTCACATTCCAGTCAACTTAAACATTCCCTGGTGACATGTGAACAGATTATCAATTCAGTCAATATGACAGCTGCCTTCTTAATTGGAGGATGTGCTGTGGAAACATTGGGCAGAATTTGCTGCCTTAGCAATAAAACACAAAATTCTTTTGTTGCATATATTCTTAATCATTAATTACCTCAAAAGCAAGATTTTAGCAAGTATACTTGTTGCTTTCTATAAATCAACATGCACCTATTTATGTAGGGAGAAAATATATTTTTAAAATCTTGTACCAAAAGAAAAATGCAGCCAATAAAGCAGAAATTATTATTGTTAATATTTATAATTTTTTTTCAAATTTCAGGCATGTCATTATGTATTTGTACCCAGAAAAGAGTATATTAATCATTTATAAAGTAAACATATACTGTGGACTCCTCTACTGGTTCACTGTTTGTTTTTTCCTTTTCTTTTTTCTATTTTTTTTTCTTGTTTAGTTAACATGCCACCTCAGGGAATAACGACTTTAAAAAGTAACTTTTCCTACAAAGTAGAATTCTGTGTGTTTTTTTTTCCAAAAATCCCAGTGATGAGTATAAATAAACCATTGTCTTCAAATTAGCTCAATTTTATAACTGGAAAGTTGGCATCCTGGATAAATAGGAAAATATTATTTGTGTTATCATTTCTATAGGCATAGGTGAATCAATTTATTAATCTAAAAAAACTTAATTGACTATCATAGAAGAACAAACTAAACAGAAATAATTCTAAACATAACACGTAATCAGGACTGAATTTTTAAGAATAATAAGTAAAACTATAACTGGTTAATTTGTATCTTTGTATATTGACCTAAATCAAAACAATTGCTGGTGATAATATTGAGAAGAGGAAGCAATTGTCATCTTTTTCCCATTAACATGATGCACTCAATATATATAAGGTTATTTTATTAGGTTTTAGTCAATTTGTATAGTTACGAATTAGCTTTCTGTATCATCCTTACATCCAATAGCATAAAATAATTCCCATTGAGTAACATTTCTGGGTTTCCTTGCTTATGCAGTGTCTACACTCCTCCAGTGTGCTTTACATTCCTTTATTTCTGGAAGACTGTCTACACTCCAGCAGCTGTCAAATATGTAAAGATGGTTGGGATTTTGAGAGGGAGAGTTTGCATGACTTATTAATATCCATAACTCGAGATTTTGAAAGCCTTAACCTTCTGTTAAAAAGATCAACAAGAGTCAGATACAAAGATAACAATAATTCTAGCATCTAAATTATATTTTATAAAATTCTATTTTAAGAAAATTACATGCTCAGGATTCATTAAGACTGAAATATTGTCATAAATGGGTCACTTCTGCAAAATTTTGAGCAGGGATCTTATATTTCTTATTGAGCATCTTGTTTGTGATGGTAGTCAATGTATCCTCAGTAGTTTTCAAGGAAATTTAGATGAGAAAAATCATAATTTACTATTTAATCTGTATCTATGATATTAAGGTCATTAGTGTCATGGACTTCTCTCTATTTCAGCTTTTGCCCTGTTTTAAGTTCCAGATACAAATTTGTCCTCACTTGATACAGCTTCCCTCAACTAGCATTTTAAAATATTTTATTGTAAAATATTTAAAATGCATAAACATATTTTTAATCCATCTATGGAATAGTGAAATTCTTGGTGTTCAAACTAATGAACAAACAGACAAACAAAAAACCCGCAAGTGAATCGTTCAATTTTATGTTGAAGCAAACACACTGTGGGTCTTCCAATTAGAAATCTTTACCCTTTTAAGATTTCTGACTATTTATCTTTTTAAAAAATTACTTTCTATTATTATTATTAATTTCAACTTTTATTTTAGATACAGAGGGTGCAGATTTGTTACATGGAAATACTGTGTGATGCTGGGATTTGGAGTACAGATCACGTAACCCTGGTAGTGAGCAGAGTACCAAATAGATAGGTTTCTTTTTTTAACCCACACCCCCTTCCTCCACCCTTCAGTAGTCAACAGTGTCTATTGTTTCCATATTTACATCCATGTGTGCTCAATGCTTAGTTCTTGTTACAAATGCAGACATGTGGTATTTGGTTTTCTCTTTCGGTATTAATTTTCTTTTTTATTATTATACTTTAAGTTCTAGGGTACATGTGCAAAACGTGCAGATTTGTTACATAGGTATACATGTGCCATATTTGTTTGCTGCACCCATTAACTCATCATTTATATTAGGTATTTCTCCTCATGTTATCCTTCCCCCTGCCCCCCACTCCATGACAGGCCCCAGTGTGTGATGTTCCCCACCCTGTGTCCAAGCGTTCTTATTGTTCAATTCCCACCTAGGTAGGAGTGAGAACATGCGGTGTTTGGTTTTCTGTCCTTGTGATAGTTTGCTCAGAATGATGGTTTCCAGCTTCAACCATGACCCTGCAAAGGACATGAACTCATCCTTTTTTATGGCTGCATAGCATTCCATGGTGTATATGTGCCACATTTTCCTAATCCAGTCTATCATTGATGGACATTTGGGTTGGTTCCAAGTCTTTGCTATTGTGAATAGTGCCACAATAAACATACGTGTCTATGTGTCTTTATAGCAGCATGATTTATAATCCTTTGGGTATGTACTCAGAAATGAGATTGCTGGGTCAAATGGTATTTCCAGTTCTACATCCTTGAGGAATCGCCGCACTGCCTTACACAATGGTTGAACTAGTTTACACTCCCACCAACAGTGTAAAAGCGTTCCTATTTCTCCACATCCCCTCCAGCATCTGTTATTTCCTGACTTTTTAATGATCATCATTCTAACTGGTGTGAGATGTTATCTCATTGTGGTTTTGATTTGCATTTCTCTGATGACCAGTGATGAGGAGCATTAATTTGCTTAAGATTATGGCCTCCAGCTCCTTCCATGTTGCTGCAAAGGACATGATTTCAGTCTTTTTAGTGGCTGTATAGTAAACCATAGTATATATGTACCAAATTTTCTTTACCCAATCTACCATTGTTGGGCGCCTGGGTTGACTCCAAGTCTTCACTATTGTGAATAGCGCAGTGATGAACATATAAGTGCATGTGTCTTTTTAGTAGAATGATTTGGTTTTTTTGGGGTATTTTTTTTCTTTTGATTAGTGATGCACATTTTGTGTATGTTTGTTGGCTACTTGTATGTCTTAATTTTAGAGGTGTCTGTTTATGTCATTTGCTGACTTTTAATAGGGTTTTTTTTTTTTTGCTTATTCATTTAATTTATCTCTAGGTTCTGGATATTAAGCCTTTGTCAGATGTATAGTTTGTGAATATCTTCTCCCATTCTATTAGTTATTAGTTTGCTCTGTTGATAGTTTATTTTGCTGTGCAAAAGCACTTTAGTCTAACCAAGTCTCACTTGTCAATTCTTTTTTGCTGCAACTGCTTTTGGAGACACAGTCAAAAATTCTTTGCCAAGGCCACTGTTGAGAAAAGTATTTCCTAGGTTGTCTTCCAGGATTTTTAAAGTTTGTGGTCTTACATTTGAATCTTTAATCCATTTTGAGTTAGTTTTTGTGCATGGTGAAAGGTAGGAATCCAGCTTTAATCTTCTGCAAATGACTAGCCAGCTATCCCAGAACCATTTATTGAAAAGGGATTCCTTTCCCCATTGCTTTTTTGTTGGCTTGTCAAATATCAGATGCTTGTAGGTATGCACCTTTATTTCTGGGTGTTCTATTCTGTTCCATTGGTCCATGTGTCTGTTTTTGTACCAGTACCAAGTTTTTTTGGTTACTATAGTTTTTTACTATAATATGAAGTAAGGTAGTATGATGCCCCCAGTTTTGTTCTTTTTACTTAGGATTGCTTTGGCCATTCAGGCTCTTTTTTGGTTCCACATAAAATTTAGAATTTTTTTTTTGAATTCTGTAGAAAATGACATTGGAAGTTTGTTAGGAACAGCATTAAATCTGTAAATTGCTTTGGGCAGTATGGTCATTTTTGTCTTATTGATTATTTTAATCTGTCAGCATATTGTCAGCAGGCAGTGGGCCAGCGACTGTGTCAAATACTGTCTCAGTACTTGGGATGGCACATATCCCTCAGTGCAGCACTTGCCCTCCAGGTAATCATTGAGTTCCTGGAAGTTGGTGGGGCTTTTCAGGTCTCCAAAACCCATGGCATCAACTGTATCCAAGAGCCAGGGAGCAAAAAGAAAAGAGTACACTTTGTTGATGTCTAATGTTAGGAGAGGACAAAGACTATAAAAAAATCTTTATAAACATATAATATAATGAACATCCATACACCAATGGCTGCTTTTAAGTAAAATAACTAAACTCAAACATCATTTATTTTAGAAAAAAATGTTTCATGATCAGTGCACCCCAATATGTCCTCTTCTAATGGCATTTTTACCCCACAAGGTGACCATTTTTTTCTGAAGTATATATATACCCTTCCAAAGCATACTGCTACACAGTTTTATTACTATATATAGTTTACATATATGTATATGTACATATATGTATATATGAAAACTACACATACATACAAACTATACATGTATGTATACATGTAAACTATATATACATATCTACGTGTACATATACACGTATATATGTATATATACATGTATGTATGTATGTATATATACATGTATATAGGTACATACATGCATATATACATGTATATAGGTACATACATGTATATACGTATACATGTATATGTATATATGTATACATGTATATACGTATACATGCGCATGTATACATGTATACATGTATATATGCACATGTATATATGTATACATGTATATACGTATACATGCGCATGTATACATGTATACATGTATATATGCACATGTATATATGTACATATGCATATATACATGTAGATATGTACATGTATACATGCATATATACATGTAGATATGTACATGTATGTATGTATATATACATGTAGATATGTATATGTACACGTATATATGTACATGTATATATGTATATGTGCACGTATATATGTGCATGTATATATGTACATGTACATGTATATATGTACATGTAGATATGTATATGTACATATGTATACATGTAGATATGTATATGTACATATATGTACGTATGTATATATGTATATATGTACGTATGTATATATGTACGTATGTACATATGTATATATGTCTATCTGTGCGTATGTACATATGTATATATGTATACATGTATATATGTACATATGTACATGTATATATGTATACATGTATATATGTACATATGTACATGTATATATGTATACATGTATATATGTACATATGTACATGTATATATGTATACATGTATATATGTACATGTATATATGTATATGTACGTGTATATATGTATATATACACATGTATATATGTATATGTACATGTATATATGTAAGTATACACATGTATATATGTATATGTACATGTATATATGTATGTATACACATGTATATATGTATATGTACATGTATATATGTATGTATACACATGTATATATGTATATGTACATATATATACACATGTATATATGTATATGTACACGTATATATATACACATGTATATATGTATATGTACACGTATATATGTATACACATGTATAAATGTATATACACATGCATATACGTATATACACGTGTATATAAGTATATACACATGTATACATGTATGTATGTGCATGTACACATGTATACATGTATGTATGTGCATGTACACATGTATACATGTATTTATGCATACGTGTATATATACACGTGTATATACGTGTATATATACACGTGTATATACGTGTATATATACACGTGTATATGTATACACTTGTATATGTATATATGTGTATATATACATGTTATATGTATATATACATGTTATATGTGTATATGCATGTATACATGTATATATACATGTATATGCCTGTATACATGTATATATACATGTATATGCCTGTATACATGTATATATACATGTATATGCATGTATACATGTATATATACATGTATATATGCATAGATACACGTATATATGTATATATGCATATATACATGTATACATGTATCTATGCATGTATGCATGTATATACATGTATATACATATATGTGTATACATGTATCTATGCATGTATACATGTATATACATGTATATACATATATGTGTATACATGCATAGATACATGTATATATACGTGTATACACGTATATATGTATATGTATACACGTATATATGTATATGTATACACGTATACGTGTATATATGTATATGTATACGTGTATACATATACATATATAGTATACGTGTATATATGTATATATATACACATATACACATACACAGACACACAATATCTCTAAAAGCTCTAGACTTTATTATCTGGGTTAATTTCCAGATTAATGCATTTATTCATAGATTTATAGATTTCTACACAAAAGTTTTCATATTCCTGATATTAGTGTTAGCATCTGTGAATAGCAGTCATGTCTGTCTCATTTTCATTCTCTTTTATTCTGTAGAGAATGCTATGTAATTTTCTACAAAAAGTTTTTGCATTCTTTTATAGATTTATTTCTAGGTAATTTATGACACTGCTATTGTAATGGCATGTTTCCCCATAAAATTTTCTAAATGCATAATTATGGTATCATATATTGGATCACCAAACACATACTAGTTGCTTACATTTTGAATGTAAATTTTCAAGCACAGAATCCGTCAAGCACTCTGTTTTCCTCAAACTCTTATCACCCCAAAAGAGCTGGGCTTAAGCCAACTATGAGGAAGCACATAGAGAATACCCCCCCTCCCTGGAAGAGCTGTCCACCTAATAGTTCTACAAACAAAAGGGAAGAAATGGAAACTCCATCAAGGACATGGCCTTTTAGGAAGAAGGAGCTTAGCTGCTTAGGAAGAAGGTAACTAAACCTGATGAAATAGTTTCTTGGTAAACTACTAAATGGGGGAGGAAAGGGGCACCTGTGATATGTAGAGTTGTCTTTTTTCAAGAATAAATTTGTTAACAATTTTTTTATCTTGCATCGAGAAACCTTACAATACTCTTATTAAAAAAAAACTATATTGTCTCTTTTTTTGGTGATTTATATAAACAATCATATCATCTGCATATATGGATAGTTTATCTTTCTCCTCTACTACAGCTATCTCACATGTCTTGTTGCATTTATAAGGATTTTTTAGATTGGACCTTTAAATGTGCTATGTTCCTTGGTCCTTGGTACCAGAAGAAACATTGTCTTCAAAAGTAAAAAGTAAAAAATAATAAATGTGCTTTGCACTGTAGCTTTTTGCTGAAGATATATGTCACTTAAAAATTTCCCTTTAATATTTAGATTGCTAAAATTTGTTTTAAATTCCCTTTAATATTTAGATTGCTAAAATTTGTTTTAAATTCATAAACATACAAGTTTATCAAATAATTTTATGTGCTCACCAATATTATCTGTACTGTCATATAGATAGTAAATTAATTTTGCATTCTGAT
The DNA here is from genome assembly GCF_000001405.40 of Homo sapiens. Taxonomy (NCBI): domain Eukaryota; kingdom Metazoa; phylum Chordata; class Mammalia; order Primates; family Hominidae; genus Homo; species Homo sapiens. Next base: position 194,047,095 of record NC_000002.12, on the reverse strand, counting down.
ATAAACCATACTTACTCACTATTTAGTTAAAAAAACTACTCTCCTTGATTAGCTAATGTGTTATTTAAAATGGTTAAATCTATGTTTTTATGTGAGATTAGTCTGTAATTTAACTATGTTGAACTTCCTCTCCAACCTATTTTGGTGTCAAAATTTACTCATCTTCAAAGGTTATAAGATAAAAATTTCCCATTGATTAGAAATTTTATTTCAGTTCTAATGGTCATTGACACATTTTGATTTTGTCTTCCTATTTTAGTCAATACTTTTAAATCTATATGTTCTAGAATTTAAAGATCTTACATTTAAAAAAATTATTTGCCTTTTTAAAATGTAAAATATTTCAAAATTCTCAAAAATATAAATTTAAAAATATGATTAAAAATCATAAGATTTATTCAAAATGCTATTTTACAATCACCCTTGTTTTTCCTGGGATTGTTTAATCATTCTCTAAACAATTTTTACTTCACAAAATATATTAGGGGTTTGAAAGTATACACAAGCATAAAGGCCAGTGACAAAACAAAATCTAAAAGCTACCTTAGGGTAGATGAAATGTGCAATTACTTAACTGTTTGAAGGAGGACACTCAAGATTTAGCAACAATATCTGCTTCAGAGAAACAAACACATCTAGATAAAATCCCCGTAAAGGCCCCCAGTAGCCTAATCTTGGTAAGGATTTAGAGGGGTCTTTTATTCATTTTCTCGAGGTTTTTCTGATCCTCACAATCCCACCAATTACTTCTCAAGTTTCTGGGTATATCCTAACTTATCACCAGGTGCAGACAAAAAACTCAGCATACTTCTGAGTGCATAAGAAGAAATGAAAAGGGGAGATCAACAGTAATTTTTCTATGATTACACCCTTACAGCAGGCTCAAGCTATAATTTTTAGAATTTGTCATTTTGATTGACATTCTTAACGATTATGGGTAATTGATCTTTTGTCTTGCTTTTTGCCTATTTATTCATTTTTACACTTTTATTCTAATATTTATCTGAAAATTATTTTTGATAATCCATTGCTTTCTGTGCTGCTTCTAAAGTTGAAATATAAGCTCAATTATTTTCAATGTTTTCTATTTTAAAATCTATGTATAATTTGCAAATAGAGATTATTTCAGTTCTCCCTTTCAGCTTCTGTGCCCATAATTATTTTCTTTTGTCTAACTGAATTGGTTAATAGCACCAATGCAATGTTCAGTAGAAATGGAGATAATGGCTGTCCTAACCTTCTTTCTGAGCCCACATATTTAAAAAGGGCATAAGAGCTGAGTTGAGAGGACTTCATTGCCCACATTTGAGATAATTGAGTACCAAAATAATAATGTCAGAAGTGAATTATAGTGAGTAATATAAAATAATTTTGGAGCATATAATGATGTATTAGTCTGTTTTTACACTGCTGATAAAGACATACCCGAGATTAGGAAGAAAAGGAGGTCTAATTTGACTTACAGTTCCACATGGCTGGGAAGGTCTCATAATCACGATGGAGGGTGAAAGACACTTCTTATACAGCAGCAAGAGAGAATGAGGAAGAAGTAAAAGTGGAAACCCCTGATAAACTTATCAGATCTCATGAGACTTATTCACTATCACGAGAATAGTATGGGAAAGACCAGCCCCCATGATTCAATTACCTCCCCCTGGGTCTCTCCCACAACACGTGGGAATTCTGGGAGATACAATTCAAGTTGAGATTTCAGTTGGAACACAGCCAAACCATATCATTCCACCACTGACCCTCCAAATCTCATGTCCCTACATTTCAAAACCAATCATGCCTCCCCAACAGTCCCAGAAAGTTGTAACTCATAACAGCATTAATCCCAAAAGTCCACAGCCCAAAGTCTCATCTGAAACAAGTCAAGCCCCTTTTGCCTATGAGCCTATAAAATCAAAAGCTAGCTAGTTACTTCCTAGATACAATGAGGGTACATGGACTGGGTAAATACAGCCATTTCAAATGGGAGAAATTGGTCAGGGTTACAGGGCCCATGCAAGTCTGAAATCCAGTGGGTCGGTCAAATTTTAAAGCTCCAAAATGATACCTTTGCCTCCAGGTCTCACAACCAGGTCACATTGATGCAAGCAGTGGGTTCCCACAATCTTAGATAGCTCTGCCCCTGTGGCTTTGCAGGGTACAGCCTGCCTCCTGGCTGCTTTCACAGGCTGGCATTGAGTGTCTGTGGCTTTTCTAGGCACATGGTGCAAGCTGTCAGTGGATCTACAATTTTGGGGTCTGGAGGATGATGGCCATCCTCTCACAGCTCCACTAGTCAGTCCCCCAGTAGAGTTTTTGTGTGGGGGCTCTGATACCACATTTCCCTTTCACACTGCCCTAGCAGAGGTTCTCCATTAGGCCCTGCCCCTGCAGCAAACTTTTGTCTGGGCATCCAGGCGTTTCCATACATATTCTGAAATTGAGGTTCCCAAACCTCAATTCTTGACTTCTGTGCACCTGCAGGCTCAACACCACATGGAAGCTGCCAAGGCTTAGGGCTTTCACCTTCTGAAGCCACAGCCTGAGCTGCACTTTGGCCCCTTTCAGCCATGGGTGGAGTGATTGGGACACAGGGCATGAAGTCACTAGGCTGCACACAGTAGAGGGAGCCTGGGCCCAGCCCTTGAAACCACTTTTTCCTCCTGGGCCTCCAGGCCTGTGATGGGAGGGGCTACCATGAAGGTCTCTGACATGGCCTAGAGAGATTTTCCCCATGGTCTTGGGGAATAAGATTTAGCTCCTTGTTACTTATGTAAATTTCTGCAACTGGCCTGAATTTCTTCTCAAAAAAAAAAAAAAAAAAAAGGTTTATTTTCTACTGCATCATCAGGCTGCAAATTCTCTGAACTTTTTTGCTCTGTTTCACTTTTAAAACGGAATGCTTTTAACAGTACCCAAGTCACCTCTTGAATGCTTTGCTGATTAGAAAATTTTTCCACCGGATACACTAAATCATCTTTCTCAAGTTCAAAGTTCCACAAATTTCTAGGGTAGGGGCAAAATGCCACCAGTCTCTTTGCTAAATATAACAAGAGTCACCTTTGCTCCCATTCCTAACAAGTTCTTTATATCCATCTGAGACCACCTCAGCCTGGACATCATTGTTCATATCACTATCAGCATTTTTGTCAAATCTCTAAGAGTTTCCAAACTTTCCCACATTTTCCTGTCTTCTTCTGAGCCCTCCAAACTGTTACAACCTTTGCATGTTACCCAGTTCCAAAGTTGCTTCTACATTTTTGGGTGTCTTTTCAGCAACGCTCCACTCTACTGGTACCAACTTACTGTATTTTTCTGTTTTCATGCTGCTGATAAAGACATACCTGAGATTGGGAAGAAAAAGAGATTTAATTGGACTTACAGTTCCACATGGCTGGGGAGGCCTCAGAATCATGGCAGGAGGTGAAAGGTACTTCTTACATGGCGACAGCAAGAGAGAATGAGGAAGAAGCAAAAGCAGAAACCCCTGATAAACCCATCAGATCTCATAAGACTTATTCACTCTCATGAGAATAGTACATGATTCAATTACCTCCCCCTGGGTCCCTCCCACAACATGTGAAAATTCCGGGAGATACAATTCAAGTTGAGATTTGGGTGGGGACACAGCCAAACCATATCAAATGACATCTGAATAAAAGTAGGTAGAGAGAAGATAGAAAGCATTACTAAATGTTTTAATTTGTCTTTTATGTTGACATTGTATTGACTTAGTATATGTAATGATTACATTATTCTGATGCTCCAATTATTACAGAACAATATCTCAATCTCATTTCTCAATACACAGGGTCATTTCCTTTTGAAGTTCATTTTGTATTCTAACGAATCTGCCCCTTGATACCATATTGAATTTTATGTCTTTTTCAAACAAACCAAAGACTTTAATGCTTCTATGATGGCCTATCTTGTTTTTCCTACCTAAATTTCCACCAAGAGGAAGGGAATTATTCCCCCTATCAGAGTTTTGGCTCCCCCTGTCAATGGCCTCTGCCTAGGAACAATGAGGAATTACCCTGTTGCTGGTTTGTGAGACAATAGTGAAAATAAGAAAATAAATAAAAACTGAGGAAGGAGCATATTTCCATACTCTCTTTCAGAATTTTAGGAATTTCTCTTTTTGCTCCTCAAGCAAAAACTAAAAACTCTATTATTGAGCTCTTCCCATCAGCACCACAGGGCTTCCTTCAGAATTTCCCGAAATAAACTTTTTCCCATACCTTCTGCCTTGGCTTTACAAATTGTTTTCCAAGTAAAAATTAATATGAACAAAGCTTATTGTCTCTTACCAAGAACTGGAATGGTATTCTGAACATTGTGGCTACTGTGTTTTAATTTACCTCTGGGACCTGGTTAATTCCTACGGTAAATTTTCATAATTTTATTTTGGCAGGCTATTCAATAGGTTAGATTCACAATGCCAGTTCTGTCTGACTGCTGTGGCATGGATTCCAATGTCTATTGAATTTCGAAAGGCTTCTCAGGCACTAATTATTTAGGTCTGCCACTCTATACCAGACTCAAGATATGGTTTTGAACTCAGCAGTGTTCCTGTTTTAATTCAGTTCTCAAAGTCTTTCTTATAATTCCCGCAGTTACATCCAGGCATGTGCAATGTGGAGCTGAGCCCAACACGTGTCCATTTATGCACAAACTGAGGGCTCTCCTCCACCTCCCTCTTCTCAGTAATTTCCTCCACATTCTCTTCATGTGAGGAATATCTTTCATCAATTGCTATGGCCGGAAAGACTGATTTCTCTTAGAGTTTTGTTTTAGGATCCAGCACTGTCACACAGTGCCACACAACTGAAGCTTTCTTCAGAGTAAAACAGTGAAAAAAACAGGGAGATAAAATAATTCAATCAGTCAATCAATGGGGATTTTCCCAAACACTCTCTGCACAATGAGGGCTCTTTCCTTGATTTCTCTACCAGAGGGACAGATTTTTCGCAAATGGTGCCTGTGCTTCTGTGATGACAATGGTAGTACAGATCTGGGACTGGAGCTGAATTCAGGGCAGGTATAAAAGAGAAAAAAGAGATATATAACAAAAATAATGGGAATTACTCTACATTCTTACTCTCAGAGCCCTTGATACCTGATATACCTGATCCCCTGTCCAAAAAAACTGGCTGCCTTTGACATTTTTCCTGATTCCTCCTGTCGTATGGATTCAGTACACCTTTGGCCATAGCTGGTACATAAAAAAGAAGCAAAATGAAAAATGAAAGGAAAAAAAATCAGATCTCCACCGTTGTACTAATATTTCTTTGAATTTTGTCTTTTTTCCCATAATTCCCCTGCTTTTAATTACTTTTCAGAGTATTCAGGCAGTGTGTGTTTCATTTTGGCCCAAAATTTTGTTATAATCAGTGGGAGAGAAAGGCTGTAGAGGGATTAATTCATCTGAAGAACTGCAGAATTGGAATCTGCACCTTAAGGTTTCTATTAAACTTCATCTTAACTGCTTATGTTAATTTCACAATAAAATATAAGTTGTTATTGCAATAGATTTTGTTTTAATTATTTTATGAATTACCCTTCTTCTAGACTATGGGTTAATAAATCCTTTTTATATATTTGCCAAAAAAATCCTTACAGAACAAAACATTCTTCATAAAAGATATATTTAAAATATAAGGATAAAAATATTGAAAGTAAAAAGAAAAGGTATATTTACACTTACCAAAAGAAAGATGCTATAAACTTTAAGGAAGAAATATTACTATATATCGAGATCATTTGTGACTATAAAATAATAAATTCAACATGAAAATAGGTAAAAATTATACACTAGTAATAGCTTCAATATATATTTAAAAGTAGACATAAAACTCCACACACATAGTTGATTTTCCAACTCGTCTCTTAGTAATTGATGCAATAAGATCAAGACAGGAAGGAATTTTTTTAAATTTATAGAGCATTTACTATGATAGACAATATAGTGGTCCATAGAACAAGTCTTGACAAGTATCCAAGGATTAAAATATTAGAAAGCATGGTTTCTGACTACAGTGACATATATATATATATATATAAAGTATGTTTTCTGACCACTGTGGGAGGTAGGTACAAAACAATAACAGAGAAAATCACAAAATGTCCAAATGTTTGAAAATTTATGAAAAATCACAACAGAAATTATAAAATAATTTGAATTGAATATTCATGAAGGAATGTCCTCCCAAATCTTATAGGTTCATCTAAAGCTATTCTTAAAAGCAAATATGTAGCATTAAGTAAATGTAGCAGAAAAAAACAAAGGCTGAAAAATCTATATTTATTTGTTTCTGTCTATCCTAAGAAGTTAGAAAACAGAGTAAATTAAAATTACCTAAAATGAAATAAAGGAATAATAAATATCAAAAATAAATGACAAAAAACTTTTAGAAGATGAACATAATTTATGATTAAAACGAGTGGGAAAGAAGGTACAAATCACAATATCAGGAATAAAAAGCAAAGGTTACTGCTACATTTATAGATATTAAAGAGATAATAGTGCATTTGAACACCTTTATGTCAATAACTTCAAAATTTTACATGAAATGGAATAATTGTTAATAAAAAACTAACAAAATAAAGACATAAAAATAAATATAAAATCTGAATATTCATTCATCTCTTAAAAAATAGACAAGGATTTTTTAAATCTTACAACAAATAAATCTCCAGAACAGCGCAATTTTGTTGATGACATCTATTAGAAATTAAGCTTACAGAAACTATTACAGAAGGTAGGAATATAAAAAAGACCTGGCAACTTGCTTTCTGGTGCTAGTAGCGTTGAAACAAAGGACATTTCAAGAAATCAAAATTTTTGACTACTCTCAAACATAAAAATTAACATCTTAAATGAAATATTAACTAATCAAATCTAGTTATATGTAAAATGAATTATATATCATGACCAAGTTTTAATTATCCCCAAAATACAAGGTTAGTTTCACTGTACACTAGGATCTGTGTACTTAATATTTATTTAAAATTTAAAGATAATATTTATTTTAAAAGTATATATTTAGTAAATCCTGGTGAAAATTTGCAGTCTATGTTTGATAGAGAAGGTGACTTTTTCCCAGGAAATTCACCTAGAGGGTTTATTTCCACTCATAAACACAAAACACTGAGTATCAGAAATTGGACAGTTACTTCACTATTCTCTGATTTTCATAGACTTAAAAAGGAACAAAATTCAACTACTTTTTATAATTCTACATAGTTTTTATAAGCGTACATGGGATTAATTATATTGATTTTTCTGCATTTTAATCAATTTTAATATTCTATATGTAATGTATTAATTTACGCTCATTGTAAAAAAGTTTATAGAAGTACATATTATATACTGTGAAGTTTCTTTGTAACTCTTTCTACCCCAATTACTTTTCCTTAAATACAAGCATATGTGTTTAATCACCAAAAGGAGTTAGATTTCTATTGTTTTTTGTTGTTGTTGTTGTTGCTGTTTTTGTTGTTGGTGGTGGTGGTGTTTTTTTTTTTTCTCCTCAAAGAAGCTCTGCATTTTTTTTGTGGTCATTATTTTTTTAGAGCAGTTTTAGGTTCACAGAAAAATTGAGAGGAAGGTACAGAGATTTCATATATACCACCTGCCCCCACACATGCATAGCCTCCCCCATAATCAACACCTCCCACCAGAGTAGTGCATTCCTTACAATTGTGAACCTACGATGACGCATAATTTTCACCCAATGTCCATATTAGGATTCATTCTTGGCATTGTACATTCTTTGCGTTTGGACAAATTTATAAGGACATATATTAATCATTATCGTATCATATAGGGTAGTTTCACTGCCTTAAAAATCCTTTCTGCTCTACCTGTTCATCCCTACTTCTCCAATCCTGGCAAACACTTATCTTTTTATTGACACTATCTTCATATTTTTGCCCTTTCCAGAGTGTCATATAGTTGGAATCGTGTAGAATGTAGCTTTGTACAATTGGCTTCTTTAAATAATAATATGCATTTAGCTTTTCTCCATGTCTTTATGTGGCTTGATTGCTCATTTCTTCTCTAGTGATAAAGACTTCAAGGCCTAGATGGATAGTTTATTTATCCATTCACCTACTGAAGGACATCTTGGTTGATTCCATGTTTTGGCAATATGAGTAAAGCTGCTATAAATAGCGATATGCCAGCTTTTGTGAGGACATAAATTTTCAACTCCTTTGGGTAAATATCTAGAAGTATGATTGCTGGATCATATGGTAAGAGTAAGTTTAGTTTTTATAAGAAACTGCCAAACTGTCTTCCAACTGTCTTGTCATTTTGCATTCCTCCCAGCAATAAATGACAATTCCTGTTGCTCCACATCCTTGTCAGTATTTGGTGTTGTCAGTGTTCTGAATTTTGGCAATTCGAATCAGGGTGTAGTCATATCTTATTTTTGTTTTAATTTGCATTTCCCCAATTACCTATAATTTAAAGTATCTTTTCATATGCTTACTGCTGTCAGTATGTCTTCTTTGGTGAGGTGTTTGTTAGCATCATTGGTGCATTTTTACACGGAGTTGTTTGTTTGCTTAATATTGAATCTTAAGAGTTCTTTGAATATTTTGTATAATTATCCTTTATCTGAAAAGTATTTTGCAAATCTCTTCTCCCAGATCATGGCTTGTCTTTTTATTCTCCTGATAATGTGTTTCATAGAGGAAAACTTTTAAATTTTAATAAAGTTTAGCTTATTTCTTTCACATACTATGCCTTTGATGTTATAGCTAAAAAGTCAATCCTAAACCTCAGGCCATCTGCATGTACTCCTGTTATCTTCCAGGAGTTCTATTATTTTGCTCTTTACATTTGGGTCTGTGATCCATTATGAGTTCATTTTTGTGAAAATTATAAAGTCTGTATCTAGATTCTTTTTGTTTTTTGCATGTGGATATAAAGTTGTACTGCCTTTACTCCTTTGTCAAAGATTAGTTGGCTCTATTTATGTGGACTATTACTGGACTCTCTATTCTGTTTCATTGATCTATTTGTCTATTTCTTTGTCAAAGCCACACTGTTTTGATTACTACAGCGCTACACTAAGCCTTTAAATAGGACAATATCAGTCTTCTTTGTTCTTCTCCTTTAATATTGTGTTTGCTATTCTGGGTTTTTTGCCTCTACATGTAAGCTTTATAATCAATTTGTCAATGTCTGCAAAATAACTTGCTTGGATTTTGATGGGGATTTGCATACTTTTAAACCCAAAGAAAGTTCTAAATTTATTTTAAATTGTTTTGATCACATCACCATTTTCTTTGGAAACCTTTCCTTATCAATTCATATAGACCTATCCCATGATTAATTGCTGCATGTTTACTTTTTTATAGTATGACATTTAAAACCAGTCACCTCTTAAAGCATACATAGTATATTTCAATTTATTTTACCAATATTATCCTATGACTCAATAATCATATATATATGTAATTTTTTATGCACACACACCAGCATGCACACACATATATGCATATGCTTATTTTAGTTTATAGTCTTGAATTTGTCTATTTTTATTTGACATATGCTGCCAAATTCTTCCAAAAATGTTTTAATACATTGCATTCTTACAAATTGTTTATAAATGTGTCCATCTCACCATATGCTTGCTTACATAAATGTTAGTAAACTTTTGGGTGAAAAAGCATATTTTTGCATTTTCATATTCCTTATTACTCCTGCAATTGAATATATTTTCCTAAATGTACTAGCTATTATAATCGCTTTGTCATTTGACCAACCACATTATAACTTTCTGAACCTCAAAGTATAATTATGGCTGTATCCTCCACTTCCTTCAAATGTTTCATGGAAGAAAAAAAGGATAATTTTCTTATTTGGTTGTAAACATTTTTTGATCTGTGGGTTTTTTTTTTTTTTTGAGACAGGGTCTCATTATGTTGCCCAGGTTGGAGTGCAGGGGTGTGATCATGGCTCACTGCAGCCTCCACCTCCTTGCTCAAGTGATTCTCCCGCCTCAGCCTTCCAAGTAGCTAGGACAAAAGGCATGAGCCACCATGCCCAGCCTGGCGCTTTTTTTATGAGCCATCAAAATCTATTGTTAAAGCCAGGGAGTACAATCTGATATTTGTGTGATCAGACAAAGAGGAAGATGGAATATAGTCAGCATTCATGTGAATGAAGTGAAGAGTAGATTATTGTGAAGTGAATGCATACCAGAAGTGAACACTCCTTGTGTTAAAAATTATATAGTGGCAGTGTGTCCACAGCACTAGGTGTGAAGATATGCTTCTCTTGATTTCAGGGCCTCTTGATTATACACTGCATGCAAGATGAAAATCCATGTCTGACCTTTTCATGGTCTCCCAGAAGGCCTGTAGATAATTTTTATTCTTTTCTATCCAGATATTTCCTGTAGATTGTATGGTAGCATATGACACTCATTAATCACCACCACAGATGTATGCATTTATTTGCTTCGTGGCTTAAAGAGGCCTAAGAACAACTTTTATGCATTGTTTCCATGATAGTGGAGCTGAGTGTTTGCTGCTGCACATGCTCACCATTTCTGCTGGCTTCCCTAGCTGCTGCTTGGAGAGTCCAGCTGATTCAGCCTGGAAATGTGGGGAGTGGACATCTATAGGGCAGATTTGGACTCATTAGAGGCAGCCAAAGGTAGTATCTTTGGGCTGTTGTAATAAAACACCATAAACTGGGAAGCATACATACAACTGAAATTTATTGTCTTGCAGTTCTTGAGGCTGGGAAATTCAAGATTAAGGCGCCATTAGATTTGGTATCTGCTTTCTTGTTCATAGATGATAGCTTCTTGCTTTGTCCTCACTTGTTGGAAAGGAGGAACAAGCTCTCTGGTATTTCTTTTTTATATTAATCCTATTCATGAGGATTCCTCCCTCACAACCTTATCAACTCCCAAAGACCCCACCTCCTAACACCATCACTTTGAGGGGTTGAGATTTCACCATATGAATTTTAGGAGGAAATGAATATTCCAGACCATAGCAGTGGGGGTCCCAAATATGCTTGGGTATTTCATTTGCTACTTATAAACCACATTATAATTTTTCACAAATCTCATAGAAAGTTATTTCTTTCTTGTGTCTTCTATAAAACCATTGTCTCTGTAACTGCCAAGGATGCAACTAAAAAGTTATAAACTGCTCTCCACTAATGAGCTTGAAGCAGCAGGGGACATGATTCCTAAATTGTTGCTCCTTCTGCCAGGAAATTTAGTAGCATTTTAATATTGTTTATAGAAAGCCAATGTCTACCAATTGCTAAATATTAAGGAGGGATTAGAATCTAAGAACAATGTATTTTGAACTGGGAAATCCTAAATTAAAATCTCATTTTTGACCTTGAGTAACTGTGTGTCCATAGGAGTGTTACTTAACTTTCCTATGCCTCAGTTCCCTCATTTGTAAAATGGAGATTATAGTAGTTGTGAGGTGGCTATGAGGATGAAATGATATAACAACATTTAGAAAACCGTCTGGTTCAAAGTAATTACTATATAAGTTTTAGCTAACATCATTTGTTATAATTATCGTTATTGTCTCTTTTAATTGAAAAGCTAACAAACTATGTAGTTAGATTTCCCCTGCCCCAAAACACAAACAGGGTAGTAAATGAGTCTCTAGGCAATATATTCAAAGCTAGGAGGATTGAAAATAAAAAGTTAATACTCAGTTGCAGCTAAGGGAGTCCTACTACATATAGTTTAATCAATACCAATGGTACTCCTTGACTCTAGGAGACTGGAAGACATCTGAAAAACCCCACTCTGAATATTTACATCAAGTAGCCTTTTCCCAGTTTCCAACTCATGAATAAAGATAATATTTTGTTAATTCTGTTTCAGGAAACTTATTGCAAGTTCTTTTATTTACAATGTGAACCTCTTCAATAAAGTTGTTTTTTTTTTTCTCTGCCAAATTCCATGGCTGTTTTATTTTATAATTTACCATCTGTTACAGTTAATGTTGTATATTTATTTATTTATTTATTTTTATTATTATTATACTTTAAGTTTTAAATTTTATTTCAATAGTTTTTGGTAACAGCTGGTGTTTGGTTTTGGTTACATAGATAAGTTCTTTAGTGGTGATTTCTGAGATTTTGGTTCACCGGTCACCCAAGCCATATCTAGTGTATCCAATGTGTGGTCTTTTATCCATCACTCCACTTCTACCAAGTCTCCAAAGTCCATTGTATCATTCTTATGCCTTTGTGTCCTCATAGCTTAATTCCCACTTTTAAGTGGGGATATATTGTACTTGCTTTTCTATTTCTTAGTTACTTCACTTATAACAATGATCTCCAACCCCATTCAGATTGCCATAAATGCCATTATTCCATTCCTTTTTATGGCTGAGTAGTATTCCATAGTATGTATATGTGTGTGTGTGTGTGTGTGTGTGTGTGTGTGTATAAAATCACATTTTCTTTACCCACTAATTGGTTGGTGGGCATTTAGGCTAGTTCCATATTTTTGCAGTGCAAATTGTCCTGCTATAAACATGTGTGTGCAATGTTTTTTTCATATAATGACTTCTTTTCCTCTGAGTAGATGCCCAGTGGTGGAATTGCTGGCTCAAACGGTAGTTCTACTTTTAGTTATTTAAGGAACTTTGTCCTTCTTGCATTGCCATCAGCAGTGTAAAAGTGTTCCCTTTTCATGATATCCATGCCAAAATTATTATGTTTTGTTTTTTTAATTATGGTCATTTTCGCAGGAGAAAGGTGGTATCTCATTGTGATTTTGATTTACATTTCCCTGATAATTAGCAATGTTGAGCATTTTTTCATGTTTGTGGGCCATTTGTATACCTTCTTTTGAGAACTGTCTATTCATGTTCTTTGCTCACTTTTTGATGACATTTTTTTCTTGCTGATTTGTTTGAGTTTCTTGTAGATTCTGGATATTAGCCCTTAGTTGGATGCATATTTTGTGAATATTTTCTCCAATTCTGTGGGATGTCTGTTTACGCTGCTGATTTTCATTTCTGTGCAGAAGCTTTTTTGATTAATAGATTAATTAAGTCCCATCTATTTACTTTTGTTTTTCTTGCATTTGTTTTAGGGTTCCTTCTTATTAACTCTTTGCCTAAGTCAATCTAGAAGTGTTTTCTATATGTTATCTTCTAGAATTTTCATGGTTTTAGGTCTTAGACTTAAGTCCTTGATCCATCTTGAGTGGATTTTTATATAAGGTGAGAGATTAGAATCCAGCTTCATTATTCTACCTATGGCTTGCCAATAATTCCGACACCATTTGTTGAATAGGGTGTCCTTTGTCCACCTTATGTTTTGTTTGCTTTGTTGAAGATCAATTGACTGTAAGTATTTGGCTTTATGTCTGGGTTCTCTATTCTGTTCCATTGGTCTGTGTGTCTATTTTTATACCACTGCATGTTGTTTTGTTAACTACAGACTCATAGTATACTTTGAAGTCAGGCCATGTGATACCTCTAGATTTGTTCCTTTTGCTCAGTCTTGCTTTGGCTATGCAGGCTCTTTTTTGGCTCCATATAAATTTTAGGATAGTTTTTTCTAGTTCTGTGAAGAATAATGAAGGCATTTTGATGGAAATTGAATTTAATCTGTAGATTGTTGTTGGCAATATGGTCATTTTCACAATATTTATTCTACCCATCCATGAAGACGGGATGTGTTTCCATTTATTTGTGTCATCAAATGATTTCTTTTGGTAGTGTTTTATAGTTTTCCTTATAGAGATCCTCCACCTCCTTACTTAGGTATATTCCTAAGTATTTTACTTTTTTTTTGGCAGATGTAAAAGGGGTTGAGTTTTTTATTTGATTCTCAGTTTTGTTGTTGTTGGTCTATAGTAGTTCTATTGCTTTGTGTACATTGGTTTGGTATCCTGAAACTTTGCTGAATTCATTCATCAAATCTAGGAGCTTTTTGGATGAGTCTAAGTTTTTTCTAGGTATATGATTATATCATCAGCAAACAGCAACAGTCTGACTTCCTCTTTACCAATTTTGATGCCCTTTATTTTGTTCTCTTGTCTGATTGATCTGGCTAGTACTTCCAGTACTATGTCGAACATAAGTCATAAAAATGGGCATCTTTGTCTTGTTCCAGGTCTCAGGGGGAATGCTCTCAACTTTTCCCCAGTCAGTATTATGGTGGCTGTGGGTCTGACATAGATGGCTTTTATTACCTTGAGGTATGTATCTTTTATGCCAATTTTGCTGAGGGTTTTAATAATAAATGGATGCTGGATTTTGTCAAATGCCTTTTCTGCATCTATTGAGGTGATTATATATTTGTTTTTAAATCTGTTTGTGTGGTGTATCACATTTATTGACTAGCATATGTTAAACCATCCCTGTATCTCTGCTATGAAACCTACTTGTTCATGGTATATTATCTTTTGTTTTAAAACACTAGGTGGCTGAATCCAACAGCATGTCTTTTTAATATGCGGTTTGATTTGGACTGAATCCAATGGCATACCTTTTTAATATGTTGTTTGATTTGGTTAGGTTTGAATAGCATTTGGTTGAGGATTTTTGCACCTATGTTCATCAGGGATATTAGTCTGTAGTTTTTTTCACTGTTTTTATGTCCTTGTCTGGTTTTAGTTTCATGGTGATACTGGCTTCATAGGACAATTTAGGGAGGATTCCATCTTTCTTTCTCGTTTGGAATAGTTTCAGTAAGATTGGTACCAATTCTTCTTTGAATGTCTGAGGGAATTCAACCATGAATCCACCTGGTCCTGGACTTTATTTTGTTGGCAAATTTTTTTTGTTACTGTTTTAATTTTGCTACTTCTTATTGGTCTGTTCAGAGTTTCTATTTCTTCCTGATTTATTCTAGGAGGGTTATATGTTTCCAGGAATGTGTCCCTCTCCTTAGATTTTCTAGTTTGTGTGCATAAAGGTGTTCATAGTAGCCTTGAATGATCTCTTGCATTTCTGTGGTATTGGTTGAAACATCTTGCATTTTGTTTCTAATTGAACTTATTTGGATCTTCTATCTTTTCTTTGTTAATCATGCTAATGTTCTATCAATTTTGTTTATCTTTTCAAAAAATAAGCTTTTTGTTTCATTTATCCATGGTTACAATTTTATTTATTTATGCTCTGATTTTTGTTATTTCATTTCTTCTGCTGGGTTTGGATTTGGTTTGTTTTGTTTCACTAATTCCTTGGGGTATGACCTTAGATTGCCTATCAGTGCTCTTTTAGACTTTTTAGTGTATTTAATGCTATAAACTTTCCTCTTAGCACCCCTTTTACTGTATCTTAGAGGTGTGATAGGTTGTGTCATCATTATTGTTCAGTTAAAAGAATTTTTAAATTTCCTTCTTGATTTCATCCTTGACCCAAAGATCATTCAAGAGCAGATTACTTAATTATCATGTATAGTTTTGAGGATTCTTTTTGGAGTTAATTTCCAGTTCTATTTAGCTGTGGTCTGAAAGGATACTTGATACAATTTCAATTTTCTTATATTTATTGAGACTTGTTTTGTTGCCTATCATATGGTTTATCTTGGAGAATGTTCCATGTACTTACGAAAAGGATGTATATTCTGCAGTTGTTGGGTGGAATGTTCTGTAAATATCTGTTGTGTTCATTTGTTTTAGAGTACAGATTAAGTCCATTTTTTTTGTTGTTGACTTTCTGTCTTGATGACCTCTCTAGTGCTGTCAGTGGAATATTGAAGTCCCTTACTATTATTATGTTGCCATCTATTTCATTTATTGGGTCTAGTAGTAATTATTTTATAAATTTGGGAACTCTAGTGTTAGGTGCATATATATTTAAGATTGTGATATTTTCCTGCTGGACGAATCCTTTTATCATTATATAATGTCCCTCTTTGTCTTTTTAAACCCTTGTTGCCTTAAAGTTTGTTTTGCCTTATATAAGAATAGCTACTTCTGCTCACTTTTAGTTTCTATTTGTGTGGAATATCTTTTTCCACCCTTTTACCTTAAGTTTATTTGAGTCCTCATGTGTCAGGTGAATCTCTTGAAGACAGCAGATACTTGGCTGGTGAACTTTTAGCCAATCTGCCATTCCATATCTTTTAATGGAGCATTTAGCCCATTTGCATTCAATGTTACTGTTGAGATGTGAGGTATTATTGTGTTGTTGTTTTATAGGCCCTGTGAGATTTATGCTTTAAGAAGGTTCTATTTTGGTGTATTTTGAGGTTTCATTTGAAAATTAGAAACTCTTTTTAGCAACTCTTGTAGTGCTGGCTAGGTAATGGCAAATTCTCTCAGCATTTGTTTGTCTGAAAAAAAGAAAAAAAACTTTATCTCCTCTTCATTCATGAAGCTTAGTTTGCTGGGTACAAAATTCTTGGCTGACAATTATTTTCTTTCAGGAGGCTAAAGATAAAATCCTAATCCCTTCTCACTTATAAAGCTTCTGCTGAGAAATCTGCTGTTAGTCTGATAGATTTTCTTTCATAGATTACCTGATGATATTTGTCTCACAGGTTTTAAGATTCTTTCCTTCACCTTGACTTTAGATAACCTGATGATTATGTGCCTAGTTGATACGATTTTTGCAATGATTTTCCCAGCTGTTCCTTGACCTTCATGTATTTGAATATCTAGTTCTCTAGCAAGGCCAGGGAAGTTTTCCTCAATTATTTTCTCAAATAAGTTTTCCAAACTGTTAGATTTCTCTTCTTCCTCAGGAACATCAATTATTCTTAGGTTTGGCCATTTAACATAATCCCAAATTCCTTGGAGGCTTTGTTTATTTTTTTAATCTTCTTTTTTTGTCTTTGTCTGATTTAGTTAATTCAAAATCCTTGTCTTTGGTCTTTGAAGCTCTTTTTTCATTTTGTTCTAGTCTATTGTTGAAAGTTTGCATTGCATTTTTTATTTCTCTAAGTGTATCTTTCATTTTCAAAAGTTGTCATTGTTTTTTCTTCGATATCTATTCCTTTGGATAATTTTTATCCATAACCTATATAGTTTTTATTAATTTCTTTAAGTTGGTTTTCACCTTTATCTGGTAGCTCCTTGAGTAGTTTATTAATAAGCCCTCTGAATTTTTTATCTGGCAATTCTTCAATTTCTTCTTGGTTTAGATCCATTGCTGGGGAGCTAGTGTCATCTTTTGGGGGTGTTATAGAAACTTGTTTTTTCATATTATCAGAATTACTTGTCTAATTCCTTCTCATTTGGGTAGACTATCTCACTGGAAGGGTCTGGAAGTCAAGGCCTGTTGTTCACATTCTTTTGTTCCACGGGGTGATCTCTTGATGTGTTGTGCTCCCCCTCACCCCCAGGGAAGGGGTTTGTTGAGAGTTGGACTGCAGTGATTGGTATTGCTTTTCTGGGTCTAGCCACCTAGTGGACTACTAGGCTCTGGACTGGTGCTGGGGAATGTCTGCAAAGCATCTTGTGATGTGATCCATCATCAGGTCTCCCAGCTGTGGATACCAGCACCTGCTCTGGTGGAAGTGGAAAGGGAGTGAAGTAGACTCTGTGAGAGTCCGTGGTTGTAGATATGTTTAGTGTGCTAGTTTTCTCAAATGCTGGTTATGTTAGCAGGGAAGTTATTATGTAAATAGACTCAGGACCTCTGGTTAGCCAGGATGTTGAAGGCAGTGGTATTAGCTATTGTTTTCCTTTTCCTGGGAGCAGGGTTATTCTGTCATGAGTTGCTGTAATGGCCTTAGTTGGTTGACCTCCAGCCAGGAGATGATACTTTCAAGAGAGCATCAGCTGTGGTAGTAATAGGGGGATCTAAACTTGCCCTAAGTTGGCCAGGGTACATATTCTGTTTTCTTAGGCAATGTGGAGTCCCATAAAGCTCAGAAAAGTTTATGTCTTTTGTGTTCAGCTACCAAGGCAGATAGGGGAATACCATCAGGAGGGGGCAGGGTTATGCAGGTCTGGTCTCAGACTCTTCACTATGGAGTTTAGGGGGTGATTCTCAGTTCAATGAGGTTATGATCCAGAGAGAATTATGGCTGCCTCTGCTGTGTCACATAGTTTGCTATGGAATTACGGGATAGCTGGTAGTGAAAAGCCCCACCCAGTTCCCACACAGTTTTTGAGGGCCAGTCTTGTTCCTGCAGTGCCCCACTTAGACCTTGCCCTAGGCTGTAAGCTTCCCTGCTGAGAAAGAAAGCAGGGGTTTTAGGCCTCACCCCTCCCCATCTGCCTACACTATCTGTGGCATATCCTGCCCTTGTATTTGCAGCAGTTCCCATTTGCCCCTGGACTCTGCTCGAGAAAAATTTGTGCCCTGTTGCAATCAGTACAAATTTCAGTTGGAAGCTTCTTTCACCCTGTGACAGTTCTCTGATTTTGCTGGCTGCCTTATCCAAAGGCTCTTATGAGATTAGGCCAGGAATGGCTTCCCTGGGCTCGAGCTGGAGACTGGGAGCGCCTACAAGGCTCTTCCCACTGCTGCTTCTACTTTTATATTTCACATGGCTCCCTAAATCCATTTCAGCTCTAGGTAAGGTTAAATCTTTCTCTTGAGACCTGGATTTTCAGATTCCCCAGTAAGAATATGTGTTTGGTGGCAGGTTATTCCCCTCTCACACTTTGGGAACTCACAGTTTTTCACCTGTCTCATAGAATTTGCAGCAACATGCCACTTCTTTCAAAGCATCTGCGATTTCTTTCAGTTTTCCTGATATAAGTTCTTGGAGAAAAAATTCAGTGTGAATGTCCACATGCTGTTATGTTTATCCATGTGGGAGCAGCATGTTAGCCCTTTCTCCTATCTGCTGTCTTTCCAAAAAAAAAAAAAAAAAGTTACTAAACTCATTCTCATGAATCTCCTCACGAGTTTTTGTTTTGTTTTGTTTTTCTTGATTATATTGGTGACTGTCTCACATGTAACATCAAGAAATTTTGAGAAGTAGTTTTCAGCCAAAAGAAGTTCAAAAAGTATTCCTTGGTCAAATTTTCAGAAATTCCTGTTCCCAAACAGGGATATCACCTGTTCACTTTTCTTTGTTCCTGTTATCTTCAGAAGGAGGAGAACCATCTTTGTGGTGGCTACACCACTAAATGACTTATTTTTTTTTTAAGATTGCTGAATTAACACTTGGTAAAGGAGATGAGTCAACATCTCCATCAACCATTCCCAAATCTTCTAACATGTTCTTGATAGTCACAAATTGTTCAGCAATTTCCACATCAACTTCAACACCATGAAGACATGGTGTTTGGTATCATGAGTTGATGAGAGCTGGGTGGTGTCAGCACAACAAGACAAAGGCAGAAAACAAGGCCACTCAATTACTATTAACTAATATACTATAGGGCAGATATTATTTATACCATTGATGAAAATTTGAATTGTTTCCAGTTTTTTACTGCACATAATAGTACTTTGAACATTACAAAATGAGGTATCAAAATTTTGCCAATAAAAAGAAAATATGACATACAAAACATTATGTTATACAAGTCATACTGTGCTTAGAGAAAAAAATGCATGCTTGTCTATCTTTTTATTGTGTTAGCAATTCTTGATGACCAACATCCAAGTCCACTCAATTATTAGAGTTACAAATTGGTGATTTTTTAATTTCTCAATTCTTAATTTCTAATTTTAAAATTTCTTCTGCATTTAGTAGCTAATGTTATTTTCTAAAGAGAAACTTGATATTCTCTTTTTCTTATGCAATGACATATTTCATCTAGGAAATGTAGAAAGAATACTTAACTATTTCATTTTCCTGTTTCCAAAATATTGACTTAGCTTATTAGTTTGATAATATTCTACAATAATATTAAATTAGTATTTTTCATGTCAGAGATTTTAAAAAATATTTGAAGTGTTCAGATCAGTAATAATAATAATGATGATTATTAGGATCACTATTTCTTAATGGCTTATTTTGAAGAAGATATATTTTTAAAGATTCTTAAACTAAATACTATTTTCTTTTGTTTAGTACTTTTGTTTCTATTTAAGAAATCTTTACCTTTGCAAAAGTCTTGAAGTTCTTCTTATTTTCTTCTAGAAGCCACAAGTTATTGAAAAATGTACTTTTTACTTTTTGCATATTCAGGGCAATCTATTTTTCTTTAATAATGTTAGTTTTAGGTCATTATGATTTTAAGCATTTAAAATGTAGTGAATTCTGTTTGGTGTCTAGCATATGGAAATTGTGCTTTTTGTATATAGTCCATAATACGTGCATCTAAAAAAATGTGCATTATTTAGTTTGTCAATACATTGTTTTATACATCTATATATGCACATGTACTTACTTTTGTCTGCTCCTTTTATTAGTAACTGATAGAATTTTGTTAAAAATCTTTTTTTTCTACAGTTGCCCTTCCATATCTATTAGCTTTGCATTGGTGGGTTAAACCAACCATAGATCAAAAATATTTAAAATAATAGTAATTATATATGTAGTGAACATGTACAGAGTTTTTTCCTCATTATTATCCCCCAATCAATGCAGCATAACAACTATGCATACAGCCTTTACATTTCATTAGATATTATAAGTTATCTATAGATTATCTAAAGTATACAGAAAGATATGCATGGGCTATATGAAAATGCTATGCCATTTCATATCATAGACTTGAGCATCATGTATTTGGTATTCTTGAGAGGTCCAGGAACCAATCCCCCATAGATACCTATTGAAATGGTGTGGCTGTGTCCTCATTCAGATCTCATCTTGAATTATAGTTCCCATAATTTCCAAGTGTCATGGGAGGGGCCTGGCGGTAGGTAATTGAATCATGGGGCCAGTTACCCTCATGCTGTTCTAGTGATAGTCAGTGAGTTCTCATGAGATCTGGTGATTTTATAAGGGGCTTTTCCCCGTTTGCTTGGCCGTTCCTGCCATCCTATGAAGAAGGTGCTTTTTTCCCCTTCACCTTTGGCCTCAATTGGAAGTTTCCTGAGGCCTTCACAGCCATGCAGAATGGTGAGTCAAGCCTCTTTTCTTTATAAATTACCCAGTCTTGGGTATTTCTTCACAATAGCATGAGAACAGACCAATACACCTAGGGATCAGTGTAATAATTTCTTTAAGTTTTTGACTGTCAACTTTTGCTTCATGTGATTTAAAGTGTATTATTCTATGCACATAAATTCAGAATTATTACATCTTTCTGGTAGATTGCCCATTTATTATTACAAACTGTCCATTCTTGTTTACTTTAAAAACTTTCTACATTCTTAAACTTCACATATTTTTTCCCTTGTGACTGTATTTCTTTTTTTAAAATTTTATTTATTTATTTTTTATTATACTTTAAGTTCTAGGGTATATGAGCAAAACGTGCAGGTTTGTTACATATGTATACATGTGCCATGTTGGTGTGCTGCACCCATTAACTCATCTTTTACATTAGGTATATCTCCTAATGCTATCCCTTCCCCCTCCTCCCACCCCATGATAGGCCCCAGTGTGTGATGTTTTCCACCCTGTGTCCAAGTGTTCTCATTGTTCAATTCCCACCTATGAGTGAGAACATGTGGTGTTTGGTTTTCTGTCCTTGTGATAGTTTGCTCAGAATGATGGCTTCTAGCTTCATCCATGTCCCTTGACTTTATTTCTTAATCTAGTCTGAAAGTATCATCTTTGATTTGGAGCATCCAAACTATTTTTATTGCATATATTTTGAATTTAAGTCTTTCATATCACCATTTGCTTTTTACATATCCAGTATTTCATTTCCTGTAGCCTAACTTTTTGCTTTTATTCAATGTTTTACTATTTTATTATATTAAATCTCCTCCTTCTTCCCCTTCTTTGCAGTTTTTGTTGTTTGTTTCTTTACTATCTTTTTTTTTTTTTTTTTGAGACAGAGTCTCACTCTGTTGCCAGGCTGGAGTGCAGTGGTGCGATCTCAGCTCACTGCAATCTCTGCCTCCTGAGTTCAAATGATTCTCCTGCCTCCGCCTCCCGAGTAGCTGGGATTACAGATGTGCACCACCACACCTGGCTAATTTTTGTATTTTTAGTAAAGACAGGGTTTCACCATGTTGGCCAGAATGATCTCGATCTCCTGACCTCGTGATCCACCTGCCTAGGCCTCTCAAAGTGCTGGGATTACAGATGTGAGCCACTGTGCCCAGCCTTACTATCCTTTTATTTGGACCTTCTTTAACTAATTTTAGAGAATACTGAGTAATTAAATAATGCATTCTTGATAATACAAATTATCCTTTCACAAATTCCCATATTTTATAAGACCTCAGAACACATAAATTGTATGTATGACACACAGGTTTATGCCTTAGTCTTATACTACATTTTATCCTTCTTCATATTTAAACTCCAAAAGAATTATTATTGTCTTATGCAATTATTAATAATATTTATTTACATTTCCCACATATTTTGCTTTTCCATTTCTGTTGTTTTCTTTATCCCTAAGCTTACTTCTTGCATATTTTCTTCAGCCCAAATCATTCTTATGTATTTTAATTAAAATTGTTTCAATAGGGATGAATTCATTTAGTTGTGTTTACTAGAAAAGTCATGCTATTCTAGGTTGGCAATTATATTTTTTTCCAAACTTTGAAGATAATGTTCCATTGTCTTCTGGCTTCCATTATCTATATTGAGATGTCACATGTAATTGTTGTTTCTTTCATGATTATAAATATAAATATGGCTGGGCATGGTGTAATCCCAGCAGTTTGGGAGGCTGAGGAGGGCAGATAGCTGGAGTTCAGCAGTTTGAGACTGGCATGGGCAACAGAATGGAACCCTGTTTTTACTAAAAATACAAAAATTAGGCATGGTGGTGCGCATCTGTAATCCCAGCTACTCGGGAGGCTGAGGCAGGAGAATCATTTGAACTCGGGAGGTGGAGATTGCAGTGAGCTGAGATCGCACCACTGCACTCCAGCCTGGCAACAGAGTGAGACTGTAATCCCAGTTACTTGGGAGGCTGAGGCAGCAGAATGCTTGAATCCAGGAGGCGGAGTTTACAGTGAGCTGAGATTGCACTACTACACTTCAGCCTGGGTGACAGAGTGAGGCTCTGTCTCAATAAATAAATAAATAAATAAATATTTTTTAATCCTTTAGGAGCTATAAATAAACTGTAGGATTCATTAAACTTTTAAATGTGTAGTTTGTAACTTGTTCATTTTGTAAAATTTTCAGCCATTATCTCCTCATATTTTCTACCACCCCCTTTTTTTCCCTTTACCTTGGAAAACTAAAAAATATATATCATAATATTTTCTCATATTGCAAAAGACTTGTCTAGTCTCCTTTCCTCTATATTATCTGCTATTTTTTTCTCTGGACATTTTCGTGTCACATATAGAGATCACTAATTTTCTCATAAACTGAGACTAATATGTCATAAAACCACTCATTGAATTTCATATATGACTTCTACTATTTTATTGTTTGCATTTTTTTCCTATTTTGAGAAAATACAAAAATATTTCTGTTGTGGGAAGTCAGGGACCCCGAACAGACGGACCAGCTGAAGCCATGGCAGAGGAACATAAATTGTGAAGATTTCATATTAATATGTACATTTGTCAGTTCCCAAATAATAATTTTATAATTTCTTATGCCTGTCTTTACTTTAATCTCTTAATCCTGTTATCTTCCTAAACTGAGGATGTATGTCACCTCAGGACCACTGTGATAATTGTGTTAACTGTACAAATTGAATGTAAAACATGTGTGTTTGAACAATATGAAATCAGTGCACCTTGAAAAAGAACAGAATAACAGTGATTTTTAAGGAACAAGGGAAGACAACCATAAGGTCTGACTGCCTGCGGGATCGGGTAAAAAAAGCCATATTGTTCTTTTTGCAGAGACCCTATAAACAGACATGCAAGTAGGAGACATATCGCTAAATTATTTTCCTAGCAAGGAATATTAATATTAACACCCTTGGAAAGGAATGCATTCCTGGGTGGAGGTCTGTAAACGGCTGCTCTGGCAGTGTCTGTCTTATGCAGTTGAAATAAGGACTGAGATATGCCCTGGTCTCCTGCAGAACCCTCAGGCTTACTAGGGAGGGGGAAAACTCCACCCTGGTAAATTTGTGGTCAGACCAGTTCTCTGCTCTTGAACCCTCTTTTCTGTTGTTTAAGATGTTTATCAAGACAATACATGCACCGCTGAACATAGACCCTTATCAGTGGTTCTGCTTTTGCCCTTAGACTTGTGATCTTTGTTGGACCCTTATCAGTAGTTCTGCTTTTGCCCTTTGTCCTGTTCCCTTAGAAGCATGTGATCTTTGTTAGACCCTATTAGTGGCTCTGCTTTTTGCCCTTTGAAGCATGTGACCTTTGTATCTACTCCCTGTTCTTACACCCCCTCCCCTTTTGAAAACCTTAATAAAAACTTGCTGGTTTAAGGCTCAGGCAGGCATCACAATTACCGATATGTGATGTCACCCCTGGTGGCCCAGCTGTAAAATTCCTCTCTTTATACTATCTCTCTTTATTTCTCAGCTGGTCAACACTTATGGAAAATAGAAAGAACCTAAGTTGAAATACTGGGGGCAGGTTTCCCCAATATATTTCATTGTATTTTTTTGTATTATTTTTATTTTACTATTATTTTTTCTATTTTGTAACATCTCAGTTCTGTGATAAAGTTACCTATCTTGTCTGCTATTTGAATGAAGAAGAATAGTTATTTCAATGTCCATATATGATGACTGCATTGTCTTATCCTATTTCAGTTATTTCTATTGAATGCTCTTGACTTTTGGTCAATTGTTTTCTCTCTTTGTATTTCTAGTTAGGTTTGGTTAAGTGCCACACACTTGATATAACAAATTACATAAAATTTAATTTTCTGGATGATGAAATCTTACTTCAGAGACTTCAATTCATGTCTAGCAGACAAATAGACTAACATCATCAACATTGTAAAATTATTTAATCTCATGAAGGAATAACATAATTTAAACAGAATTTTAGTCACTAGAGATGGTTTATTTAAATTCCAGTTTTATAATTATGGTGTAAACTAGAGGTCTCAAACCAAGTCCAATAATAATTATTTTTTCCATTTGCTGTATAAACCATGACATGTACATTTCTTTTCATACCAATGAGGTTTTAAAAGCTCAGTTTAACTTCTTAGTTTCAAGTAATGGACTCAACTTTCTAGATTTTCTTTTACTTTCAGAGTTTAGCCCCATAATTTCTCACTGATCCAGAGAAAATAAAGCTTTGATAACATGTGAACATGAACAAATTGTTCATTGACTATTTAAAACTTAGAATTTAGCAAATACTCAGTTTTAACTACTTTATTGAGTTTTAATACACATATCATAATACTATAGCTTTTAATGTGTACTATTCAGTGTTTTTGTTGTACAACCATTACTATCATTTAAGAAACTAGTCATCATCCCTTTCCTAAAAAGAAATCCTGTACCTGTTTACAGTCCCTCGTTCCCAGCTACCGCCAATGCCTGTTCAATAACTAACCTAATTTAATTTCCATAGACTTACTTATTCTAGACATAACAAATAAATGAATCCATTTTACATGTGGTAATATGAATACCTAGTGAGCATAGTATTTTCGAAGTTTACGCATATTATTACATGCAGCAATGCTTCATTTGTTTTATTCCTGAATAAAATTCCATGATATTGTGCCTGGAATTGGTGGGTTTTTGGTCTCACTGACTTCAAGAATGAAGCTGTGGGCCCTCGCGGTGAGTGTTACAGTTATTAAAGGTGGCATGTCCAGAGTTTGTTCCTTCTGATGCTCAGATGTGTTCAGAGTTTCTTCCTTCCGGTGGGTTTGTGGTAACGCTGGCTTCAGGAGTGAAGCTGCAGACCTTTGCAGTGAGTGTTACAGCTCTTAAGGTGGCACATCTGGAGTTGTTCATTCCTCCTGGTGGGTTTGTGGTCTCACTGGCTTCAGGAGTGAAGCTGCGGACCTTTGCCATGAGTATTACAGCTCATAAAGGCAGTGTGGATCCAAAGAGTGAGCAGCAGCAAGATTTATTGCAAAGAGCAAAAGAACAAAGTTTCTACAGTGTGGAAGGGGACCTGAGCAGTTTGCCACAGCTGGCTCGGGCAGCGTGCTTTTATTCCCTTATCTGGCCCCACCCACATCCTACTGATTGGTCCATTTTACAGAGAGCTGATTGGTCTGTTTTGACAGGGTGCTGATTGGTGCATTTACAATCCCTGAGCTAGACACAAAAGTTCTCCAAGTTCCCACCACATCAGCTAGACACAGAGGGCTTATTGGTGCATTTACAAACCTTGAGTTAGACACAGGGTGCTGATTGGTGTATTCACAATCCCTTAGCTAGACACAAAGATTCTCCAAGTCCCCACCAGATTAGCTAGATACAGAGTGCCGATTGGTGCATCCACAAACCCTGAGCTAGACAAAGGGTGCTGACTGGTGTGTTTACAAACCTTGAGCTAGATACAGAGCACTGATTGGTATATTTACAATCCCTTAGCTAAACATAAAGGTTCTCCAAGTCCCCACTAGACTCAGGAGCCCAGCTGGCTTCACCCTGTGGATCCCACACTGGGGCCACAGGTGGAGCTGCCTGCCAGTTCAGCACCTTGTGTCCTCACTCCTCAGCCCTTGGGCCGTCGATGGGACCAGGTGCTGTGGAGCAGGGGGCAGCGCTCGTCGGGGAGGCTTGGGCCACATAGGAGCCCACGGCAGTAGGGGGAGGCTCAGGCATGGTGGGCTGCAGGTCCCAAACCCTGCCCGCAGGGAGGCAGCTAAGGCCCGGCAAGAAATCAAGTGAAGCGCTGTTGGGCCGGCACGGCTGGGGGACCCAGCGCACCCTCCACAGCTACTGGCCCGGGTCCTAAGCCCCTCACTGCCCAGGGCCAGCGGGGCAGGCTGGCCACTCTGAGTGTGGGGCCTGCCGAGCCCACGCCCACCTGGAACTTGCGCTGGCCCACAAGCACGCCGCGCAGCCCTGGTTCCCACCTGCGCCTCTCCCTCCACACCTCCCTGCAAGCTGAGGGAGCCGGCTCCGGCCTTGACCAGCCCAGAAAGGGGCTCCCACAGTGCACCAGCGGGCTGAAGGGTTCCTCAAGCGTGGCAAGAGTGGGTGCCAATGCCCCGGAGGTGCGGAGAGTGAGCGAGGGCTGCGAGAGCTGCCAGCACGCTGTCATCTCTCAATATGAATGTACTGTATTTTCTTCACAAATTCATCAATCCACGAACACTTGGGCTGTTTCCTCCTTTTGGCTATTATGGATAAGGCTTCTATGAACATTGTACAGTTGGCCTGTGGATGTGTGACTTTACTTCTCTTGAATATATATGTGGATCAGATAGTATTGTGATATCCAACAATTTGAGAAAGTTTCAAAATTTTGTCCATTTTACGATCACTTTAGCAATGTATGAGATTTCCAATTTCTCTGATTTTTAAAAAATATTTTTCCAAGTGTATTAGTTGGCTAGGGCTGACACATTCATGCACACACCCACACCCCCCACATAGGCTCGGTGCCTTTAAAAAAAGATATTTATTTTCTCACAGTTCTTCAAGACAGAAGTCCATGATCAAAGGTCCAGCAAGGCTGATTTTGCCTGAAGCCTGTCTTCTTGGCTTGCAGGTGGCGACCCTCTTGTACCTCTTTACAAGGCAGTTCCTCTGTTCCTGTATGCCCCTGGTGTTTGTCTCTTATCAGTAGTACCCCTGTGCCTGTATGCTTGTAGTGTCTGTCTGTTATCAGTATCCTAATCTCCTTTCCAATATCAGTCATATTGAATCAGGGTCCACCTTAACAGCCTATTTTTAACATAAATACCTCTCTGAAGGTTCTATCTCTGAATACAGTCATAGTCTGAGGTACTGTGAATTAGGCTTCAAGATATGAAATTGTGTGGGGACACATTTAGCTCACAACACAAACACTGGTTACTATCTTTCTTATCATAATAATCCTAGTAAGTTCAAACTGATATCTCATTGTGGTTTTGATTTGCATTCCTTAATACTTAATGATGTGTAATTTTTCATATGTTTATTTTACAATTATACATCTTTCTAGAGAAATGTCTATGTGTCTCCTTTGCTCATTTTTAAAATCTAATTTTAAATTGGATTATTTGTCTTTTAATTATTGGTTTGTAAATTTTTATTCTACATTAGGGATACAGGTCTCTCACAGCACATATGATTTGCAAGTGCTATCTCACTTTCTGTTGTGCCTTCTTACTTTCTTGAGGGTTTTATTTTCAGCACAAAAGTTTTTAAAATTGAAAAACTCCTATTTATCTGTGTAATAATTATTTTGTCATGAGTGCTTTTGGTTTTGTATCTAAGAAACCCTAACCTAAGTTTACAACAATTTACTTCTATATTTTCTTTTATGCAATTTACAGCTTTTTGTTCTTACATGTTGATCTATGATTCAATGGGAGCTAATTTTTGTGTATAGTGAGAAGTAGAAGCCTAGCTTTATTCTCTTGAATGTGGATATCCACATTCAATGTTGGAAAGATTATTTTCCCGTTTAACTGTGGAAAATAGGATCTGCCCTTGTTCACTGGTTGCTGTATTCATGCAGAAAGCCTTCCACCTCAAAAAAAAAAGGGTCCCCTTGACTTCTGAGCAGTAGAAAGCCTTTCTCCAAGGCACAGGCATATGGGGGATGGGTTCATACTCTAGATTGAATGCTATGACCTCCCACTGTTCTTACTAAGTTTCAGTTGTTGTTAAAAAATTATTTCTTAATATACTGTAAGCCTTTTTATAAATCTCCAAAGAATTTAATAACTATTTTTACTCATTTTGACCAGTTTAACAGAAAATTACTGGTCACAACTATTTTAACATTTTACAATTATTTAAAATGTTTCTGCATTTACAAATTGATATATATTCTGAAATATTTCATATACACAAAGAGTAAAGATAATAATATATTGAACATCTATAAACTCCCTACCAAAACTCATATATGTGAAGACTATTATTGTTAGATACATAGAATTTTTAAATTATAGATAACGTCTCAGTGAATTTTCTCATGTGTCATGTTGGTGGCATTCTGCCCCTAATAATACTTTTTATATTAATATATACTTTATTTTATATTAATATTATTACCTCTAGTTTTATTTACTACTGTTGCCCGATCTACTTCCATTTTTTAAAAATTATATTACATTTCTGTATTAAAATATTTTATCATCTATGTATTACATGTTTTATATAGCTGAATATTTAACTTTTATATTAATCAAAAAATTAAAAATATTTTTAAAAACGTTTTTTCAGGGATATTTGTTGGGACCCCTGATAAAATTAGATCTGATTATATTATTTAATTTTATACTTAATCTGGATGTCTTTATGCTTTTTTGGGTTCCGTATTTTCAACAATTATTTTAGTTTATAATGTTATTTTTAACTATTCCTTTATTTATCTTTGTACTATGGCAGTTAATTTTTAATTCACAAGTTTGCAGCTTTTAGCTGGAAATTCCTAAGTAGAAGATTTATATTGTTTTGTTTATAAATGTAAAATTTTAACATGGATTGTAAAGTTCACAAAGTGTAAGCTTACTAGATACTGTTTGACTTCTCCAAAACCAATATAAGAATATGAGAATACTTGCTTTCAATGGGATTCATTCTATATCACAGTTTATTTTTATCCATTCTTTAGCCCTGTTTGTTTGATTACCCATGTCAATATCTCAGTTCAGTGTTTGGATACTAGGAATATTGCTACCATGAACATAATTGAACATGTGTGGTGATAAAGGCTTGTTTTTCTAAGGTATATAGCAAGAGGTGAAATTGCTTTTTTATTGTTAATTTACTTCATTAGCTAAAGTGCTCTTTATATTAGCTCTTAGGGTCTCAGAATGATTTTTAATAATAGTAAAAGTCTTAAATAGAAAGAAGAGAGTAAACAAAAGCAGTCTGTATCCTAGTGTCAATGTGAAGAAATATAGACTCTTAAAAGAGTAGTCAAAGTTTAATAAAAGCAACTAAGAATCTATGTGTATGCATATGTGTGTATACACACACATATGCATACACATATATACAAATGTATAACCACATGTGTATATACATACATATGTATAACATGCTAACTTTTATTATAGTATGTAATATCGCATATATTATGGAATATCATATGTGATATAGTTGTGTTAATATTTTGATGTCATATATTATATAACATATTTTTATTATAAATGTATATTACTCATATCAGTTATTGAATAATAGTTATATAGGAGGCACTAAGTAAAAGTCAAAGTATAGTTATCTAGTTTAAAATTATTATGAATAATTTCCACTTTAAAAAAAATAATTTAATGGGTTAAGTTAAAGTGAGCCCTTGTTTCCATTGATTTTCTATTTAAGACCTAACACTTTTTAAAAATTTAATATTGAAAGATACTATAATTCATTAATTTTGATTTTTATTTCTTTTTTACTGTTATTCATTTCTATACTAATGAAATTTCTAGTGTTAACATGGATTATTTGGTACATATATGAATCTGAAATATCTAAGTAATATAAAAATATATATTATTTTTCAGCTGCATAATCATATCTGTTATTAAAATTCTGCATAGCCAATTATTCCACTTTTCTTTTTTCAATTTCAACTGGTTCTTTTTATTTATTTATGAAAATATTAGAATTGTATTATTAAATAATTGAATAAAAGCTGTCACATAAGTCATTACAAAAATATCGCTATAGACAGAGACAGTAAGTTCTATTTTTACAAATGCTAATTAATTCTACCAATCCATCAACAAATATCTGAGCACCCAAACATTAAACGTATTGAAATCTAAAAGCATCTCTAATTGGTCATAATTTACTAAGCAACTCACATAACTTACTAATTTAAAATGTTCCCTTTGGCAATGTATGTTGTTCCTCAAACTACTATAAAGATAATATGTTGATTAGTCAGTAGAAATACTATGATTATAAATTAGTTATATGGTAATTTAAATAACTGAAAATTGTGTGTGGAAAAGCATACCTAATTTAAATTCTGAGGATATGCTGTACACAGGCAGCTCTCATTAGAAATGGCAAAAGCAGTAGGTAGAAAGAGCCAAAATGACACAGCCAGTGCATTCAAATACAGATAGTATGCTTGTATTTAATAAGCACAGCAGGTGAACAATTGAATTTGAAAGGAAAATTAAATGGGCTGACCCAAGTGCTGAGATATTTATTGTGTTGCTCCACACTTTTTATTCTGTGATTACTGCAAAGCTCTTTTGTTAACCAATATGAAGGCACACTATTAGAGAAATTGTGCATCAATTAAGTATTGTAGCTACAGGAAGAAACACAAATACATTTTAAAAGGAAGTCTAATTCAATGTGTTGTTATGTCCAAGCTGTTGTCCTATCTAATCTTTTATTTTTATGCTGTAAATTGGGTATTTTCTTGCACTCAGACAATTTATTGATGCTAATAATACTGCAGAGTGAAAACTTGTAGGACTTGATCTACTACTTTTCAACATAATACACTTTTCAAAAGAAACATTTTGACCCTTCCTGTGTCATTTATATTATGAAGCATTCTTTTGTTCTATTTTTGCATATATTGTGTAACATGGATAAAACTTTCAAATAAAAACTATTTGCCATTATGTCGAAAAAAAGTATTAATTTCTTTAAACCATTCTCTTTCAAAACTGAAAATCACTAGCTTACTACAGATGTACGTAAGCATCAAATGTGTTAAAGTACAAAACTAATATGTAATGAGGAAGAAAGAGCTGGAAAATTGGAGAGAAGGTGGTGGCTCATCTGTGGTATTTTATTATTGGGCATCTAGCAATTATTCCCAGATATATTTATGGACAGTACTGCAGGAGTCATGGAGCTATCTTAAAAGCATTCTGGCTGTAAGCCCATGTTTTAAATGGAATGGAAATAATTCAGGCTTAAAGCAGAATAGAATAGTTGATCTGAGAGCGGAGTGAAAGATTCGAAAGAAGGACACAAGTTATCTCAAGTAATTAAAAAGATGCATCTAATCTCTAGTTACTTTTGACAAACTGTTTTTGTGATTTATGGCAGGTGCTTGTTTATAAACCCATTTCTCCTCAGACACAGTGAAAAGCATTTATCATTCTGCTTGGCTTTTCTTATTAGATAAATGTCACCTAAACATAACCTAAATCTGGAATCTTGCTAGTGTGGCATGTGAGCTGGTGGTGTCTCTTTGACTACCTTCATTTTTCTATTGACCCCCAGCAGCCAACAGTATTTGACCATGAGTGTCCTTTAGCCCCTGTGCTGTATGTGCCAAACAGAAGGAAAAAAAAAAAAGCCATTCAGAGTAGCGGAGGTCAGCAAGGTGATATTTATCAACAGGCTACTCAATATTGATTTTGTTTTAAATCTTCTACCCTGAAGCTGTTTTCAGTTAGTAATTCATAATAACCAATGTAAGGGCTTTTACATATTAAGGAGATATGTATGTCGACAAAATCAAATTAATCAATGAAAGTGTCAGTCACCTGGAATCCAAGAGCTAAATGAACTGTCCAGTAAGGATAGTAGAAAATTAGAGTAATTTTTAAATTCTTGAAAAATGTGATTTTCTATGGATTTTCCCACTCCTCCCAACATTATAACTTTTAAATTGCCATTCTCCTTTGTATTAGTCTGTTCTCATATTGCTAATAAAGACATACCCAAGACTGGGTAATTTATAAAGAAAAAGATGCTTAAGGGACTCAGAGATCCATGTGGCTGGGGAGGGCTCAGAATCACGGTGGAAGGCAAAGGAGGAGCAAAGTCATGTCTTACATGGCAGCAGGCAAAAGAGAGCCTGTGTAGGGGAACCCCCCCTTTATAAAACCATCAGATCTCATGACATCTATTCACTATCATGAGAACAGCAGGGGAAAGACCCAACCCCATGATTCAGTTACATCCTATTGGGTCCCTCCCACGACAAGTGGAATTTATGGAAGCTACAATTCAAGATGAGATTTGAGTGGGGACACAAACAACCCATATCACTTCTTTACAATATTTGGTCTGTAATTGTTAATGTATTGAAATTTTACAGTATTTTCCATATCTATTTTTAATGATTTATAATTATTATGTGAAAGCATGGTCTATATTTAACTGTAAATGGCTAAGGATGTGTGTAAAATTAGTAATGAAAATAAATCAAGTAAATCTTTACAATATATGATGAATAGTAAAGATAGGTAATGTAATAGAAAATTGAGAACTGCATTAATTTTGCAAATGGCTTGGATGCATTATCCTGTTAATTATCCTGTTTTAAAAATAAGTATTGGCTGAGCATTATGGCTCAAATCAGTAATCCCAACACTCTGGGAGGCCAAGGTAAAAAGATTGCTTGAGGCCAGGGGTTTGAGACTAGCTTGAGTAACATAGCAAGACCCCATCTTTAAAAATAAATTAAAAAGTTAAAAAAGTATTAATAATTCAGAAAATGGATGCTTTAAATAATTGTTAAATAACTTAATGTTATTTAACAATGTAATACATTAAATAAGGTGCATAAATATTTTTAAATATTTTCTGGTATGATACTTAAAATTTAAAATAAAATGTGTAATGGTAATTTTTATTTCCTTATCCCATTTTAAAATTGGAAGAATCTCCTAGTGTTGTAGAGTTGGAGATTACTTATTTACTTATTTATTAACTTTTATTTTAAATTTTGAGTTACATGTGAGGTTTCTTATATAGGCAAAATTGTGTCATGGGGGTGTTGTACAGATCATTTCATCACACAGGTATTTAGTAATACCTGTTAGTTATTTTTCGTGATCCTTTCTCTCCTCCCACCCTCCACCCTCCAATAGGTTTCTGTGTGTGTTGTTTCTCTCTATGTGTACACGTGTTCTCATTATTTAGCTCCCACTTACAAGTGAGAATATGTGGTATTTGGTTTTCTGTTCCTGCATTAATTTGCTAAGGCTAATGGCCACCAGCCCTATCCATGTTCCTGCAAAGGAGATGATCTCATTCTTTTTTGTGGCTGCATAGTGTTCTGTGTTGTATTTGTACTACATTTTCTTTATTCAGTCTATTATTGATGGGCATTTAGGTTGATTCCATGTCTTTGGTATTGTGAATAGTGCTGCAGTGAATATTCCCATGCATGTGTCTTTATAATAAAATAAAGTTATATTCCATTAGTTATACAGCCAGTAATGGGATTGCTGGTCAAATGGTATTTCCGTCTTTAGGTCTTTGAGGAACTGTCTTCCACAATAGTAGAACTAATTTACACTCCCACCAATGGTGTAAAAGGATTCCCTTTTCTCCAAAACCTCATCAGCATCTGTTATTTTTTTGGTTTTTTAATAACAGCGATTCTGACTGGTGTGAGATGGTATCTCATTGTGGTTTTGATTTGTGTTTCTCTAATAATCAGTGATGTTGAATTTTTTTCATATGATTGTTGGCCACGTGTATGTCTTTTTTTTTTTTTTTTTTTTTGAGAAGTGTCTATGTACTTTGCCCACTTTTTAATGGGGTTGGTTTTTTTTTTTTGTACATTTGTTTAAGTTCCTTATAGATGCTGGATATTAGACCTTTGTCAGATGCATAGTTTGCAAAAATTGTCTCCCATGTTGTAGGTTGTCTGTTTATTTTGTTTATAGATTTTTTCACTATGTGGAAACTGTAATTAGGTTTCATTTGTCAATTTTCTTTTTGTTGCGATTGCTTTTGGCGTATTAGTCATGAAATCTTTGATTAAGCCTATGTCCTGAACGGTCTTACATAGGTTTTTTTTTTTCTACTGTTTTTATAGCTTTGGGTTTTACATTTAAGTCTTTAATCCATCTTGAGTTAATTGTTATATAATGTGTAAGAAAGAGATCCATTTTTAATTTTCTGTATATGGATGTATATGGATAGCAGGTTATCCCGGAACCATTTATTGAATAGGGAATCGTTTACCCATAGCTTGTTTTTATCAGGTTTCTGAGCCACCACACCCAGTCTGTTTTGAATTTTTGATGTAACAATTTACATTTTTTTTCTATTGCATATTCCTTAACAAGTTTTTGTAGTTTTTATGTTTTAATAGTTTTGTTTTTATCCTTCACACTAAAGTTCTGTGATTTACATACCACCATTATAGACTTAGAAAATTCTAAATTTCACTGTGTATTTACTTTTATCAGTGAGTTTTGTACTTTCAGATGAGATGTTTTGGGTTGCTCTTTAGCATCTGGATACAGTATTCTTGATTGGCAGGCTTTATGCTTCAGCACTTTGAATTTATCATTCCACTCCCTCTTAGCCTGTAAGGTTTCTGCTGGGAAGTCTGCTGCAAGGTATATTGGAATTACTTTATATGTTGTTTCTTATTTTTTGTTTTTGTTATATATATATATATATTTATTATACTTTAAGTTCTAGGGTACATGTGCACAATGTGCAGGTTTGTTACATATGTATACATGTGCCATGTTGGTGTGCTGCACCCATTAACTCATCATTTACATTAGGTATATCTCCTAATGCTATCCCTTCCCCCTCCCCCAACCCCACAATAGGCCCTGGTGTGTGATGTTCCCCTTCCTGTGTCCAAGTGTTCTCATTGTTCAATTCCCACCTATGAGTGAGAACATGTGGTGTTTGGTTTTTTGTCCTTGCGATAGTTTGCTGAGAATGATGGTTTCTAGCTTCATCCATGTCCCTACAAAGGACATGAACTCATCCTTTTTTATGGCTGCATAGTATTCCATGGTGTATATGTGCCACATTTTCTTAATCCAGTCTATCATTTGTGGACATTTGGGTTGGTTCCAAGTCTTTGCTATTGTGAGTAGTGCCGTAACAAACATACGTGTGCATGTGTCTTTATAGCAGGGTAAAAGAACAGAAATTATAACAAACTGTCTCTCAGACCACAGTGCAATCAAACTAGAACTCAGGATTAAGAAACTCACTGAAAACCACTCAACTACATGGCAACTGAACAACCTGCTCCTCAATGACTACTGGGTACATAACAAAATGAAGGCAGAAATAAAGATGTTCTTTGAAACCAATGAGAACAAAGACACAACATACCAGAATCTCTGGGACACATTCAAAGCAGTGGGTAGAGGGACATTTATAGCACTAAATGCCCACAAGAGAAAGCAGGAAAGATCCAAAATTGACACCCTAACATCACAATTAAAAGAACTAGAAAAGCAAGAACAAATACATTCAAAAGCTAGCAGAAGGCAAGAAATAACTAAAATCAGAGCAGAACTGAAGGAAATAGAGACACAAAAAACCCTTCAAAAATTAATGAATCCAGGAGCTGGTTTTTTGGAAGGATCAACAAAATTGATAGACCACTAGCAAGACTAATAAAGAAAAAAAGAGAGAAGAATCAAATAGATGCAATAAAAAATGATAAAGGGGATATCACCACTGATCCCACAGAAATACAAACTACCATCAGAAAATACTACAAACACCTCTATGCAAATAAACTAGAAAATCTAGAAGAAATGGATAAATTCCTCGACACATACACTCTCCCAAGACTAAACCAGGAAGAAGTTGAATCTCTGAATAGACCAATAACAGGAGCTGAAATTGTGGCAATAATCAATAGCTTACCAACCAAAAAGAGTCCAGGACCAGATGGATTCACAGCCGAATTCTACCAGAGGTACAAGAAGAAACTGGTACTATTCCTTCTGAAACTATTCCAATCAATAGAAAAAGAGGGAATCCTCCCTAACTCATTTTATGAGGCCAGCATCATCCTGATACCAAAGCCAGGCAGAGACAAAACCAAAAAAGAGAGTTTTAGACAAATAACCTTGATGAACATTGATGCAAAAATCCTCAATAAAATACTGGCAAACTGAATCCAGCAGCACATCAAAAAGCTTATCCACCATGATCAAGTGGGCTTCATCCCTGCAATGCAAGGCTGGTTCAATATATGCAAATCAATAAATGTAATCCAGCATATAAACAGAGCCAAAGACAAAAACCACATGATTATCTCGATAGATGCAGAAAAGGCCTTCGACAAAATTCAACAGCCCTTCATGCTAAAAACTCTCAATAAATTAGGTATTGATGGGACATATCTAAAAATAATAAGAGCTATTTATGACAAACCCACAGCCAATATCATACTGAATGGGCAAAAACTGGAAGCATTCCCTTGTATGCTGTTTCTTTTTTCTGACTGCTTTCAGAATCCTCTTTCTATTTGATCTTGGACAATTTGATTATAATATGTCTTGGGTAGTTTTATTTGTATTGAATTTGATTGGTGACCTTTGACCTTCCTGTACCTTTATATTTATGTCTTTTTGCAGGTTTGAAAAGTTTTCTGCTATTGTTTTTTTTAATGACGTTTCTACCACTGTCTTTCTTTATTATCTCTTACACTCCAATAATGCAAATATTACCCCTTTTGGTGGTATCTCATATATCTCATACCCTTTCTTTATTTCCCTTTATCCTTAATTTCTTTTCTTCTCTGACTATATTTTCAAATAACCTGTATTCAACAAATTCTTCTCTTTAATCTGTACTTCTGTTGATGCCATCTATTGCATTTTTCATTCTGTTCATTGCATTTTTCAGCACCAGAATTTATTTTTGTAAAACTCCAATTCTCTATTAAATTTCTTGTTCTGATCTCTTCCTTGTTTTTCTTATTTGTTAAATATTTTATCTATATTCTCTTGAGGTTTGCTGAGCTTCCCCAACACAGCAATTTTGAATTATTTGTCAAGAAGTTTATACATCTCCATTTATTTTGGGTCAGTCACTGCCACTTTATTTTGTTCATTTGTTTATGTTCATGTTTGCCTCACTGTTCTTGATTCTTGTCATTGTGCATCTATGTCTGTTCATTGGAGAAGTAGGTAATTATTCCAGTTTTTACAGTTTAGCTTTGTCTGGTAATTACCGTTAACAGTAAGCCTGTGCACAGATTCTGGGCAGGTTGTCTGGTGTGATCTCTAAGCTTGTGACCACAGCAGCTGTTGCAGTGCTAGCGGGAGCACTAAGCCCATGATCACTGCATCTGGAGTAGCCCAGGGTTGTAATCCTGTGGCCCCCAAAGCTCATGTAGCACTGGGGTGCATGCAAATCCTTTGAAGCTTGCCTGTTGCTGAGGTTTGTCTGGAACCCAAGTCCACTGCAGTCAGTTGGTGAGGATTTGGGCCAAAGATTGAGTCCATTTTGCAGGGACTATGGGTTCTCACCTGATGGTGGAGAAGCACAGGAAACTCTGTTTATGGGTACCTGTCTGGATTCTGGAACTGTAGGGGTCTGCCTGGCACTGGATTTTACTGTGGTGGGCCCAGTGTTTGGTACCAAAGCAAAGTCCTATG
Organism: Homo sapiens; assembly: GCF_000001405.40. NCBI lineage: Eukaryota > Metazoa > Chordata > Mammalia > Primates > Hominidae > Homo > Homo sapiens. Next base: position 194,008,775 of record NC_000002.12, on the reverse strand, counting down.
CTCACTTCCTTCTTTTTCCCTCAAGCAAATGGGTCTCTCTCTGATATTGTTTGGCTGTGTCCCCACCCAAATCTCATCTTGAATTGTAGCTCCATAATTCACTTATGTTGTGAGAGGGACCCAGTGGGAGATAATTGAATCATGGGGCAGGTTCCCTCATACTGTTCTCATGGTAGTGAATAAGTCCCATGAGATCTGATGGTTTTATAAGAGGAGACCCCTTTCATTTGGATCTCATTTTCTTCTCTTGCCAGCCACCATGTGAGATGTGCCTTTTGCCTTCCATCATAATTATGAGGTTCTCCCCAGCCATGTGGAACTGTGAGTCCACTAAACCTCTTTCTTTTGTAAATTGCCCAGTCCTGGGTATGTCTTTATCAGCAGCATGAAAATGGACTAATACACTCTCTATGTTGCACTGCCTGGAGTTGGGGAAAGGATGATGTGCGTACTTAAAACTATCTGCTCTACTCTCTTTAATACATATTTTCTTCTTCTTATGCTACAATCAAGTATTGTGATCTTTCTCTCACTCTTTCTCTCTCGATAATCTGTCCTCTAGACTTAATTATACAGAATTTTGTCATATCAAGATTCTACAGCACAATGTCCTCAAGCTTTTTAGAAGCTCTTTTGTGGAGCTAGAAAGATCCACTACACACCTTCAGAGGTCTTAGAAAAGGGTGTCACAGCCATACTGTTGATTTTGTATTCGTATGAAACTTTCTCTTCATAGCCAGAAATTTGACTTGTTGAGAAATAGTTTTATTTTCCACCTCTGAATTTTTAGTCTATCCATATTTCCTCTAAATTCTGCTTATAAACTGGCAAATTCTTTTTAGACTCTGTTTCCTGTTTTGCTATTACATAAACCAGTTACACTTTTAATATTTGACCAAGAATTACTACTAACACTACAAGTTCATTAAGTAAGTGTCCACTATTTCAACTTTTACTAAATGTTTCGCTACCGTTTGACATCCATTAGCATTTTTCTGATCTCCTATAACGGTTTTCTGATGCCAGTTATCAAGACAATGTCACATACATTTTACCCCATACCTTGCACCAAATTATGAATTATTTTGCATTGTCTCACAAATATTATATAAGGAATTCATCTCAAAAATTCTGCAACATACAACAATGATCATTTAATTGTTCATTTTCTTTTTGCATACACATCTGTGTGTTAGCTAGCATTTAGTTGATATAATATGGACTTAACCTTGTCTCAGACTGTAAGTTTGGATCAAGAATGCTCCAGGTGCCTTAAATACTAACACCAGTGAATATCTAAGCCATATTCTTATCGGGAAAGGCAGGAATTCAAGACTACTAATCCAATTGAACTAGTACATTCAATTCACCAGTCACATCACAAGCCCTAGTATTCCATTGGCCAAAGCAAGTTACATATTAAGTTCAGTAGCAATAAGACAAGGAAGTATACCTTTCCTGTGGAGTTCTAGGGGTAGTGGTAGTAAATATTTCTGGATTTTCAAAGCAACTGTAGACAAGGAGACAATTATTTATTTTCTATAAGCTAACCATGAAACCTAATTATTAAAATTTATTTTCTCAGTTTTTGTGCAAAAAGCCAATGTGGAAATCTGGAATTACATACATTATTTCCTTTAGCAATTATATTTCTTACTATTAATTTTCTGAAATCAGAAACAAATAAATTTTTAGCCATACTTGGGTCTGAATGACTCTCTGATATTCCCTGCGGATCAGACAATGACTGATACACTTTGTGTTACATATGCCTTATATTCTGAACAAAGGATCTATATAATGTTTCTTGCAGAAATTAATAGGCCAAAGGAATTCTTGGCTGTTAAGAACATGGACTTTTGAATCAAATAGATCATTTTTTTTTTTTTGGTATTGAGTTTTACTCTTGTTGCTCAGGCTGGAATGCAATGGTGCAGTCTCAGCTCACTGCAAACTCCTCCGCCTGGGTTCAAGTGATTCTCCTGTTTCAGCCTCCCAGGTAGCTGGGATACAGGCATGCACCGCCATGCCCGGCTAATTTTGTAATTTTAGCAGAGACAGGGTTTCACCATGTTGGTCAGGCTGGTCTTGAACTCCCGACCTCAAGTGGTCCACCCACCTCAGCCTTCCAAAATGCTGGGATTACAGATGTGAGACACCACACCCGACCCTGAATCAAATAAATCATTATATCAATTTTGACCTTACTATTTATTAGGTATAGGACTTGTGTAAGTTATTTTACCTTTATTGCATTTCAGTTTACATACTGTTAAATGTGAGTTGTTTTGAAGATTACATGAATATTACATGCAACATAATAAATAAAGTGCCTCAAAGTTACAATGGAATGTCAGCTAGCTGTTTTTCAACCCAATGCACTATAAGAGATATTACAAAACAGTGCTCATGTGTCCTCATACAGACATTGAAAATCTCAAAATGATGTTGAATATTATTAATATTTAGTTTATTTTTTCAGACTATTGCATTGTACTATATACTTCTCATGCAATAAATATTTTGTGTTGGTTTCTTCAGTTATATACACCTAGGCAGCCTCAAACTCCTTTATTCCCTAAATGCCACAGTGACCTTCCTAATGCAGGGTTTTTTAGAAGCCCAGGTGAAAGTTTCACATGATCAGAATAACAGGGCAATGAGACACAGGTACTTAATTTCACAGAATGTTACCAGATTGCTCTTTAGAATGCATACAAGCTCTTTTTCTCCCACCACTATCTCAAGAGAGCTCCTGTTGCTCACCTAAGTAAATGCAATTTAGACTATCTATCTTCCCATGTTTGCCAATTTCATTAGTGTAAAGTAAATTTGAAGTTAGTAAGTTAATTGAATATTCAATAAAATGTTAGCATACGATATAATGCCTAGCATTTACATATGCTTTCTTAATTATTTCTTAGAACAACATTTAAAGAATGCACTGTTGTATCTCATATTTCATATACAAGAAAGCTGAGACTTGAATTTACAAAGCTTGTACACAAAATAGTTGCCTAGCTCTAAATTTTCCAATCTAAATTAGCCAGTGAAATGTAAGAATTTGTTATATTCCCCTAAAATATGGCAGCTTTTATAATCACATAATGAATATTTAGAGAAAAATAATTGAACAGAAGGAGAATTTTTAAAAACACTACGTGAGCAACATCACATCTTTATTTTTATATTAAACTACTTGTAATGCTTTCTGTGTGTGAATTATAGTATCTTGACATTTTTCTAAAGAAGGAAAAATGATCTAATTTAATTAAACTGTTGAATTGGAATAACCTAAATTATAAATCCAAAAATGCAACTCAAAGTTAATTTAATCCCTGAAAACAGAAAAATTGCATTTAAAGTTTTCCAGATAAAATAAAGTGTGACAGATCAGATTTTTGGTCTTTGAGAAATCTTAAAATCTTAAAATTATAATGTATGAAAATCTCAAAGAAAAGTTTTGTGTTACCATGACATTACACAAAAAAATGTAATGGAAAACACAATGATAAGTGATTCTATTATTTAAGAATTATGTTAGAAATTTCAAAATAATTGCCACAAAATTTTATTGAATTTTTAAATTAAAAAAATCAGAAGTTTTGTTTTTTTTGGTACAGACTCCTGAGTTCTAAGGTTTAAGCCCTTTAAAACCTCATTTAACATTAATTGCATCACAATCTGACTTTCACATCAAAAATGTTAATTTAACTATGGTTTGAAATTTCAGAATTAGTAATTCAACCTTTATAACTGCTATGAGTCATATGCATTCCTTTTCCTTACAGAAGAAGAAATTATAACATACGGCCGCCCATTTTTTTAGAAGCATTATATGCAATATGAATGGAAAGTGCAAAGACTCATCACATATTATTTCTAGATAATCTAGAATTAGAAGCATTCTTCAAAAGAACTGTCATATGTTAAGAGGAAACCTTTAAAATTATGCAAATAATGCAAAAAAATCCCTATTCAACTATATACCATTATGAAGTACAGAGCTTGTAATATGTTCTAAAATAAATGTTGCCCCACCACTCTTCTTATGCTAATTATTAGATTTTTCTCAGAAATACATTTGCCAAGTGGTCATTAAGTCAGTATGGTAACATACCCAATTGGCAGCAATTCATCCATCATAGCCCAAAGTAGAAAATGCCATCCTTGGACAATGCTGAAGGTAATGTAAGAAACTTTATAGACAAAATAAAATGTGACAGATAAGTGTATTTTTCTTTAAAATTATTGTTATAATTTAATTATTCTTCCTGTATTGCTGTAATGATGGTTTCCCTGTTTGTTTCCATTTTAACTACTGGGCCACAGAGATTTTCTAGAGAATACAGGGAAGGGCTATCTGAAGACAGCTTTCTCACACCTATTCCCCCAGAACACTCACAAAAAGAAATTTCCCTCATTTGTTTAAGCAACACTGATTCCTTTCAATGTTCTTCACTACAGTTTAATTTCTACTTTAGTGAGAATCTTTTAGTCTGAGTGTATGGATTGCACATCAGGCTGTTAATATCCTTTTCAGAGCCTACATGTTACAAAGTTGTAGTCAGTGTTTCATGTTTATATGCCTTAGCTTTCTTACACAATACGATTGTTGCATATAGAAAGTGTGTGACTATCTGACACCCCACTAATATTCACTGGCACAACTTAAAGGTGACCTGGCAAATGCATGAGTCGAAATTCTGTCAGATGATGAGTAAGGGAAAACATTTCATTGAGAAGGCTGAATAACAAATTCTCTCAACAAAAATAGTTGCCTCAGCTGAATTTGCAAAAGTACAATTTTTTGTGGTTTTTGTTTTAGTTTAAGCAAGGATAATCAAATTACTTCTTTTTTATTATGAGCATATTTATTGTTCTCAAATAGTTTATAAAATGTTAAGCTTTAATATGTTAGTGATATTAATTTCTATTTTATATTTCAAGAATTGCAGTACTATCTAGTTAGCTTGGCAATTTAATTTTTTTCCAAACATTTTATTTATTTGATAAATTGATAATTTGAATCATAGGGGTGGTTCCCCCACACTTTTCTCTTGGTAATGAATAAGTCTCACAAGATCTGATGGTTTTATCAAGGGATTCCACTTTTGCATCTCTCTAATTTTCTCTTGCCACCACCATGTAAGAAGTCCTTTTCGCCTCCTGCCATGATTCTGAGGCCTCCCAGACATGTGGAACTGTAAGTCCAATTAAACCTCTTTTTCTTCTCAGTCTCAGATATGTATTTATCAGCAGTGTGAAAATGGACTAATATACCACCTCCCTAATATATAATTGGCAATAAAAATTGTATATATCTATGCTGTATAATGTGATGTTTGATAGATGTATACTTTGTGAAATGATTACAATAAAGCTAATTTACATATCTATCATCTGATATACTTATCCCTTTGTGTGTGTGTGATGAGGACATTTAAGATCTAGTCTCTTAGGAATTTTCAAGTATACAATACTGAGAGGTGACAGCGTGCTGGCAGCCCTCGCTCACTCTCGGCGCCTCCTCAGCCTTGGTGCCCACTCTGGCCATGCTTGAGGAGCCCTTCAGCCTGCTGCTACACTGTGGGAGCCCCTCTCTGGGCTTACTGAGGCTGGAGTGGGCTCCCTCTGCTTGCGGGGAGGTATGGAGGGAGAGGCATGGGCGGGAACCGGGGTGCACACAGCACTTGGGGGCCAGCGCTAGTTCTGTGTGGGCGTGGGCTCAGCAGGGCCCACACTCAGAGCAGCTGGCTGGCGCTGCCAGCCCTGGGCAGTGAGGGGCTTAGCACCTGGGCTAGCTGCAGAGGGTGCGCCGAGTCCCCCAGCAGTGCTGGCCCACTGGTGCTGCGTTCGAATTCTCTCCAGGCCTTAGCTGCCTCCCCGTGGGGCAGGGCTTGGGACCTGCAGCCTGCCATGCCAAAGCCTCCCCCACCCACCGTGGGCTCCTGCGCGGCACGAGCCTCCCAGACGAGCAGCACCCAGTCCCATCGATCACCCAAGGGCTGAGGAGTGCAGGCATTCAGCATGGGACTGGCAGGCAGCTCCACCTGCGGCCCCAAAGCGGGATCCACTGGGTGAAGCCAGCTGGGCTCCTGAGTCTAGTGGGGACTTGGAGAACCTTTATGTCTAGCTGGAGGATTGTATACACACCAATCAGCACCCTGTCTCTAGCTCAAGGTTTATAAGTGCACCAATCAGCACTCTGTATCTAGCTAATCTGGTGGGGACTTGGAGAACCTTTATGTCTAGCTAAGAGATTGTAAATACACCAGTCAGCACCCTGTGTGTAGCTCAAGGTTTGTAAATGCATCAATCAGCGCTCTGTGTCTAGCTAATCTAGTGGGGACTTGGAGAACCTTTATATCTAGCTAAGGGATTGTAAATAAACCAGTCAGCACTCTGTGTCTAGCTCAAGGTTTGTAAACACACCAATCAGCACTCTGTGTCTAGCTCAAGGTTTGTAAATGCACCAATCAGTGCTCTGTGTCTAGCTAATCTAGTGGGGACTTGGAGAACTTTTGTGTCTAGCTCAGGGATTGTAAATGCACCAATCAGCACCTGTCAAAACAGATCAATCAGCTCTCTATAAAACAGACCAATCAGCTCTCTGTAAAGTGAACCAATCAGTGGGATGTGGGTGGGGCCTGATAAGGGAATAAAAGCAGGCTGCCAGAGCCAACAGTGGCAACCCACTCGGGTCTCCTTCCACCTGTGGAAGCTTTGTTCTTTCGCTCTTTGCAATAAATCTTGCTGCTGCTCACTGTTTGGGTCCACACTGCCTTTATGAGCTATAACACTCACCGTGAAGGTTTGCAGCTTCACTCCTGAGGCCAGCGAGACCATGAACCCACCAGGAGGAATGAACAACTCCAGACGGGAGGACCAAACAACTCCAGACGCACTGCCTTAAGAGCTGTGACACTGACCGCAAGGGTCTGCAGCTTCACTCCTGAAGCCAGCGAGAACATGAACCCACCAGAAGGAAGAAACTCTGAACATGTCCGAACATCAGGAGGAACAAACTCCGGACACACCATCTTTAAGAACTGTAACACTCACCGCGAGGGTCCTCGGCTTCATTCTTGAAGTCAGTGAGACCAAGAACCCACCAAATTCCGGACACAATACTACACCTGTTGATTTTGGTATTCAGATCTTCTATAATTTAACTGAACATTTCCTTAACCTATTAATTATCAAGTGTGATTGGTTGATGATTTCTCAGTAGGCTAATGGGTTTATCAGTTTCTCATATACTTGTAATTTGAAGCTATTTTGTTGGTTGAAAATTTTCATCAGAGTGTTATACTTTTTCTCATGAACACTGGTACGATTATATGATGCTCCTCACCATCCCTAACCAATCTTACAGTCTATTTTATCTAATGCTGATCCAAATAATCCATATTTCATTTAAGTATTTACCTGAATATTTTCCTTCCTTTAATTTTCAAATTTTGTATGCACTTATATTATAGAGATGATTATTTTAAGAAACTCATATTTATATTTTATATTCAATTTGTCAAACTTTATCTTCTACTTGTTTAATCAATTTATACTTAATGTAGTACTGATATACATAGTTATTCATTTTTTTGTGTGTTGTGAGGACATTTAAGATCTATTCTCTTTGCAATTTTCTCTTACTGTTTCTCTAACCTTACTTTATGCATATACACAGGCATGTACCTTCATCTGTTTATTCTTTTTTAAACATATATTTGAATTGATATCTGTATTTTTATCATAAATGTTAGATTACAGAGACAATTTCTCTTTTAATTTCTGATTACACATTTTTTTAAGATAAGAGTCTGTAGCTTGTCTTTTCCTACTCGTGTTGTTTCTCTTTAGAGGAAAAATATTTAATTTTAATGAAGTCTAAGTTATCAATGTTTTCTTTTACTGTGGTTTTAATAGCAAGCCTAAGAACTGTTTGCCCATCACTAGATCCTGAAGACTGTCTCCTATGTTTATATGATATATGTTTCTAAAATTTTTATAATTTCGATTTTACATTTACATCCATAATGCATTTTGTCTAAATTTTGTATAAGGCGTGTTTTTTTAATTTTTATTTTTCTGAAAGGCTATTTTCCCCCATTAAATTACGCTTGCATTTTCAATAAATATCAGTTGGTCATGTTTGTGTGTGTCTCTTTATTAATTCCCTATTCTGTTCATCCTTGTGTCTTCACTAATATCATACATTGATTACTGTAATTATATTACATCTTGAAATTAGATTAATTGAAACTCTGAACTTATTCTTCCTTTTTTTCAAAGTTTTTTGGCTGTTTTAGTTCCTTTGCCTTTCCAGATGAATTTTAGATTAATCTTGTTCATAGATGGGGGAAATATTTTTAAACCAAATATCCAAAAATTTAATAACTAAAATTTAAAGAGCTCTTAAAACTCAGCTGTAAAGAACTCTTAAAACTCAGCTGTAAAAACAAGCAAGCATGGAAAAAAATGCAAGAAAAGACATTTAGCCAAAAAAGACATATAGATGGCAAATAATCACATAAACATTGTACATAAATTTCAAATTAATATCATAATGAAATATTACAACACACTTCTGAAAATAGCTAAAATAAAAATGAGCAAAAACTCCAAAAGCTGACTAGGATGTGAGGAAACTGCCACTTACAGATTGCTGTCAAGAATGTAAAATGTTGCAGCCACTCTATAAAACAGTTTGCCAGTTTCTGAAAAAAAAAAAAAAAACAAAACAGATACACAAACAAAACTAAACATGTAGCAACCACAAAACCCAGAAATTGCACTTCCCGTAATTATCTAAGGGAAATAAAAACTTATTTTCACACCAAAACCTGTATATAAATGTTTACAGAAATTAATTCTTAGTAGCCCAAAACTAGAAACAACCCAAAAGTCATTTAATGAGTGAATGGTTAAATAAACAAGTGGGACTTCCATACCATAGAATATTACTCAACTCCCAAAAGGAAGTAACTATTGATACATGCAAAAACCTGGGTGAATAGCCAAAGAAACATACTGAATTTAAAGAGCCAAGCCTAAAACTTATATACATGTGTCCCTTCTACCTTGGTATTTGTGGGGAATTGGTTCCAGGACCCCCATGGATATCAAAGTCTCAGGATACTGAAGTCCCTTATATAAAATGATATAGTATTTAACCTATGCACTTCTTCCCTATACTTTAAAACATCTTGAATTACTTATAATATCTAAGACAATTTAAATGCCATGCAAATAATTGTCCTCTTGTATTTTAATTTTTTTAAAATTATGTAGTTGTTTAATCACAGGGGGAAACTGGGTATAGGTTACATAGAATCTCTCTATATTACTTCTTTACAACCGCATGCAAATCTACACTTATCTCAACATTTTTTAAATGTTCAAGAAAAAAAGGTAAAAGATAACAAATATCAAATTATATGATATTTTTGTAAATATTTTTTATAGTATCTAAAGGACTTCTCTCTTCCTATTTCTACTCATGTCCAACAATTTTCAATGTTCTTTATTTTCTTTGGCAAGCTTCCTTCTGCCTATATGCCTGAGAATGTTTTTATCATATACTTTTTTTCTGAATGGCAGCTAGCTGAATAAAAAATTCTAAGTTGTTTCTCTTCTTCCAATATGATCCCAATATTGTCCTGTAATCATTGTTTTTGTGGAAAAAAATGATGTTGATTTGACCTTTATCCCTTTTCAGCTGATCTGTTTTATCTTTGATATAATTTAGGATTCGCCTTGTCATTGATTCATTAAAATTTCACTATTATGTCTAGATATGTTGTTTCTTTTATGGATCCCTCTCTTTGCTACTCAAGTATCTTTCAGTATGAATTATTTCACCAGTTTTTTAATTATGGAAAACTGACATCCATTTATTATGCAAAATATTTTATGAAAAGTTTTCTATGTCCATTTTAATTTTTTCCACTTTCTAAAACTCTTTAGAAATGGATAATAGCACTTCTAATTCTGTTTCTCAATTGTCATAACTTTTGTTTTTATATTTTCTATTTGTTTCACTTAATCTTTGGGAAATTTTAAGTCTCTTTCCATTTCTTAATTTATTTCTATTTGTGATGACTTTGCTCTTAAATGTGTCTTTAATATACACGATTTCAACTACTGTATGCTTAGATCTAATAATTCACCTGTTTATTTTTTATAAATTGCACACTTTTTCTCATAATTATTAATGTATTTATTCTAAAACTTCTGTTCCTGTGAGACCTGTAATCTAATGTACCATTTTTCTTTTAGAGTGAATGTATTCTTGAGGTACTTTATTCTTTGGGTTTGTAAGCTATCAAGATATTAGCCATGCACCAGTAATCATGTCAAATGATGTTAATTAAAGCATTTTGTAATAGTAAATATTTGGAAATAAACAATATATCTATCAACACAGTATAGTAAAATTAAATTGTGTAACATTTAATTAAATAAATAATATACAGTAATAACATTAAAAAGTAGTTCTATATTTTACAACATAGAAATTTGAAAACAATAAAAAAGCCAATAGAAAAAACATACAAACACACACTGGCTAATTTTGTAAGAATTGACAAAAACACAGAAAATAGTATTGCATATTGCTCAAGAATGTACACACACTGGTATATGCACATACATACATACATACACCTTGGCTTAAAGGATTTATACATATTCACTATTTTGGAAGTCTCTTACAAAGACCGTGTTAAGATTGGAAGAAAAGAAAAAGAAGACTTCACTCTGTCTACAATACTACTGTGTTTTATAATATGTATATTATGAATTATATACATTGAATACATATACTATGAAATACCTAGTCATCTCTAGGAATCTATAGGGCATCAATTCCAGTACTCCCACAAATAGAAAAATCCACAGATGCTCAAGCATATAAAATAGTGGAGTATGTACATATAACATATACACATCTTTCCATGCATTTTAACTCAACTTCAGATTACTTATAACACCAGTCTTATGAAAATACTATATAAATGGTTTTTGTACCATATTTCTTTTTTTTTTCTTGATCAGATTGTTTATTTCTCAACATCTTAAAGAGATACTTAATTTTTCTTTTTTTTCCCTCTGGTATTTGATTCTTTTTTTATTATTATACTTTAAGTTTTAGGGTACATGTGCACAACTGGATTAAGAAAATGTGGCACATATACACCATGGAATACTATGTACCATATTTCTTAGAGAATAATGACAAGAATATGAGTTTGTGCATGCTTGGTACATACACAATCATCCTTTTTTTTCCTTCAATATCTTTGATCTATGGTTGATTGAATCCATGGATGTGTAACCAACTCTTACAAAGGATTGACTATACAGTCATAACTAAAAGACATTTGCAGGTTCTATTTCAAACTACCACAATGAAGCAAAAATTGCAATAAAGAAAGGAACACAATTGTTTTGATTTCCCAGTGCATATAAAAGTTATGTTTATGCACTGTGGTAGTCTAATAAGTGTGCAAAGCATTATGTCTAAATAGCAATCCACATACTTTAATTAAAAATAATGAATTGCTAAAAATGCTAACGAACATTTGAGCCTTTGGCAAGTTGGTAATTGTTTAGCTGGTGGATGATCTTACCTTGTTACCAATAGCTGCTGACTGATCAGGATGGTGGTTGCTGAAGGCTGGAGTGGCTGTTCCAATTTCTTAAAATCGACAACAATGAATTTGCTTCATTGAGTGACTCTTCCTTTCATAAAAGATTTCTCTGTAGCATGTGATGTTGTTTGATAGCATCTTACCCACAGAAGAACTTCTTTCAAAATTGAAGTCTTTCCTCTTAAAACTTGCCACTGTTTTGTCAACTAAGTTTTTGAAATATTCTTAATATTTTCAGTCCTTTCAACAATGTTCACAACATTACCAGGAGTAGATTCCATTTCAATAAGTTATTTTCTTTGCTCATCCACAGGAAGCAATTCCTCATCTGTTCAAGTTTTAACACGAGATTGCAAAAATTCAATCACTTCCTCAGGTGTCACTTCTAATTCTAGTTCTCTTGCTATTTCCACCACATCTGCAGTTACTTCCTCCACTGAAGCCTTGAGTCCCTCAAAGTCATCTATGGGGGTTGGAATCAACTTCCTCCCAATTCCTGTTCATGTTGCTAATATAAGCTTTTCCCGTGAATCATGAATGTTTTCAATGGCATCAAGAATGGTTAATCCTTTCGAGAAGGTTTTCAGTTTACTTCACTCAGATCCATCAGAGGAATCACTATTTACGGCAACAATAGCTTTAAAAATGTACTTGTCAAATAAGACTTGGAAGTAGAAAGTACTTTTTGATTCATAGGCTGGAGAATGAAAGTTTTGTTAGCAGGCAAAAAAAATTAATCTTTTTGTATATCTTCATCAGAGGTTTTGAATGAAAAAGTGAATTGTCAATGAACAGCAATATATTGAAAACATCTTTTTTCCTGAGCAGTAGGTTTCAAAAGTGGGCTTAAAATACTCACTAAACCATACTGTAAACAGATGAGTTGTCATCCAGACTTTGTTATTCCATTTATATAACACAAACAGAGTATATTTAGCATAATTCTTAAAGGCCCTCAGTATTTTTTTGAATGGTAAATGAACATTGGCTTTAAATTAAAGTCACCAGCTGCATTAGCCCCTAACACAAGAAACAGCCTGTCTTTTGAAGCTTTAAAGCAAGGCATTGACTTTTTCTCTCTAGCTATGGAAGTCTTAGATGGCATCTTTTTCCATTAGAATGTTTTATCTACATTGAAAAGCAGCTGTTTTGTGTAGTTACCATCTTTAATGACCTTAGTTACATCTTTTGGATTGTTTGCTGCAGCTTCTACATCAGCACTTGCTACTTCACCTTGCAGTATTTTTTATTATGGAGATGGATTTCTTCCTTCAATGTCATGAATCAAGCTGTGCTAGTTTCAAACTTTTCTTCTGTAGTTTCCTCACCTCTCTAAGCCTTCATAGAATTGAAGACAGTTAGAGCCTTGCTCTGGACTGGGCTTTGACTTAAGGGAATGTGGCTGTTTTGATCTTATATTTAGACCACTAAAACTTTCTCCATATCAGCAACAGGGCTTTTTTAAAAAAATTCTTATCATTTGTGTATTCACTGGAGTAGCGTTTTAAATTTTCTTCAAGAACTCTTCCTTTGCATTCACACTTGGCTGTTCATCACACGAGGTTTAGCTTTCAGCTTATCTAGGCTTTTGGCATTCCTTCCTGACTAAACTTAATCATTTCTAGCTTTTGATTCATAATAAGAGGTCTGTGACTCTTTTTCTACTTTTTTTCACTCTTTTTTTCACCTAGAGAGGCCATTGTAGGGTTATTAATTGGCCTGATTTCAATATTGTTGTGTCTTTGGGAATAGGGAGGTCTAAAGAGAGGGAGGGAAACGGGAACACCTGATCAGTGGAGTAGTCAGAACAGGCACATCTATTAATTAAGTTTGCCATCTTATATGGCATGGTCTGTGGTGCTTCCAAAGAATTTACAATAGTAATTTCAAAGATTACTAATCAGAGATCACCATAACAGATAAAATAGTAATGATAAAGTTTGAAATGTGAGAATTCCCAAAATGTGACACAGAGACAAAAAATGAGCACATCTTGCATATCTTGTTTAAAAAAAATACTGTCGATACTCTTGCTGGCTGCAGAGTTGCCACAAGTCTTCAATTCATAAAAAGAAAAAAAAAACAGTATTTGCAAAGTGCAATAAAGTGAAGCACAATAAAGGTATGCCTGTATTTATTTCATTAGTTTTTGGGGGCTTTGTAGGGTTTAACTAATGCAAATTGTCAAGAAAAATGTATGGCTAATAAATAATAGAAAGAAAACAAACGTTTTCATTAATTGTGTGCATGTGGTACAATTATATGTCTGAAAAATCTAAATGAATGAAATATACGTTAAAATTTGGAACAATAAATACAAAACTAACATAGAAAATATAAAAATTATAAAGTAATTCTTTAGCAAGTACAATTCATGTAACCAAGAATAAATTTAATCAAAATAAAATGAAAAGGATATATAGGAAGATCAATATTATATTTAATGTAAAAGACATAAATAAGATGTTAAAGAAAGAGAGGAGAACATATATAGAAGGGTAACATCCCTTGGAATATTGGTTCATATTATAGAGTGGTCAATTTTACCCAAATTGATCTTGACAAAGTTGATAGAGTATTTGTTTTTTTGTTTTTGTTTTTGTTTTTTGAAATGGAGTCTCACTCTGTCACCCAGGCTGGGGTGCAGTGGCACGATCTCAGCTCACTGCAACCTCCACCTCCCGGGTTCAAGTGATTCTCCTGCCTCAGCCTCCAGAGTAGCTGAGATCACAGGCACATGCTGCCACACCCAGCTAAGTTTCATATTTTTAGTAGAGACAGGGCTTCACCATGTTGGCCAGGCTAGTCTCAAACTCCTGACTTCAGGTGATCCACCCGCCTCAGCCTCCCTAAGAGCTAAAAATATTCGAATAACAACTGAAAGAAGATAGCGAGAAATGAATTAAAAATAAAAAGCAATGTGAAGCCACCCACTTCACAGTATTAAAAAACATGATAAAGCCTGGCAATAAAATTATACTCAGTGGAGCAATCACGACAAATAAGTGCATGTGTGTGTGCATGTAAATGTTCATGGATATTTTGTTTGTAATGTTATTGTAATAGAAAGATAGGAATTCAATGAGTAACTTCCAAAATTAGTTAACCTTGTTAAAATAAATTACAGATATATCAGTTATTTAAATATAAAGAAACAGAAGTAGATAAGAATTAATATTTATATAAGCGTGTCGCAGCAAAGGTCTTTCAAAGCAAGACACCAAATCAGAAAACACTGGTGCATTTACTTTATAATATAAACATCCCTTTATAACTAAAACAATATCAACATTTAAGAAAGTAAATTCCAAAATAAAGAATAAACTATTAATTTCTGAAGTAGCTTATTGTAAAATTTTAATATAAATTCGATATTAATTAATATTGATATTAATTAATTAATATTGATATTAATTAATTAATATTAATTAGTTAATATAATTAAATATTGATTATAAATTTGATATTAGGAAATATCAAAATACTTATTAAAACATTAGTAAAGGAAATAAATAGGCAATTCAATGGAATATGATTGTACAGTTATTTTAATGTAAAATTTTATTGTAAATAAAATGCATATTTATACATGTAAATTTATTTCATTCATGCAATCCACAAATGTTCAACTATGCCAATGCTGGGAGTTGGCAGTGGCATGGGAAACAGACAATTTTGTGTACTGCTGCAAGGAGTGTGCATCTGTTCAAACTTTCTGGAGGACAGTTTGGCATGACTAAATACTCTCTTACCTGACATGATGTCGATCACTAATCAGCAGGTTAATTGAGCAAGTATTTGACTTTCCTATTTTAACAGTTTTATTTTAAGCAAAAGCACAAGCTATGTTTATAAGACAGCTCAGATGTAGGAACAACACTGTTTCTTCATGTAAGGGTTCCTTGAATATACAGAACAGATTGCAGCCTACTCTTGCTGATTTGTTTCTTCTCTCTCTTCTTCTTCACATGAAAATGATACTTCTGTATGTAGGCTGCAAATTCTAATACCAAAGCCTTAAAAGTGTGCTAAAGCAGCTTTCAAAAAATCTCAGGGATGCTTTTCAAATTCCTGTGATTCTTTATAGATGATATGCCTACCAATAATTAAATACGTTTCTATTGATTATTTGAATTTACCATGTTTTTGAATTATTCAACAATATTATCAAAGATATATCTTTCACACTTATTTCATTAGCTTGGTTAGTTTTAATTAAATTGTGTAGTTATAAAAACATGTATAAATGAAATAACTGGTTTGGACACAAATGCGATTAACTCCATACCAAAAATGTAAGTACACATGCAGATGAAAGGGTAGCTCATTAGCTGCAAATATTCAGTTTGAGCATTAGTCTGTACTTATTTCAAGATAATTGAAAGCAGTAACCTGTCAAGTTAGTTAAAAGTCACTTAGAAGGCTTTCTACTGTATGTATAATAACCTTTAAAATGTTATTTATATTAACAGCATTAGATAACAGAAGCAGATTTATAAGCTTACAGAGAATAATACATAAAAGAATAATAAAATAAATGAGAGAATTTCATAATTAATACATTTCACTTTCTTTCTGGAATATAATGCAACCATATTAATCAACATTATGCACAATATATTGAAATGTGTAGATCACAATTTATCTCTGAAATTAGAATTATTCGTGATTATTACCTTGTGTTTTCCTTATCATACTTGCTCTAAAATATTAATACATGAACATGAATTACTGTTATACTCCTGCAATTAAAAACAATAAAACACTTGTTTTCTATAAAATAAGTTTACAAAAGTATAGAAAAATATGTCTGTTATTGCCTGTGCTCATTTTCTCTGTTGAACTATTTTTGTGTCTTTCTACAGAATAAGCATACATCAAAGGTTCCAAAATTGACATTTGACTTTTCTCACTAAGTAGTGAAAATTAATGATAATAGAATAGCTTAATGAAAAGAAATGTAAGAACTTATCTGAGACTCGTCAGGAAAGGATAGCTGCTGGGCATTCATCGTGGACCTTACAGGGTAGCATTGCTGACATGAATCCACTAATAAAGAAGCTTCTCAATTTAACTGTTAAGCAAAACAAAACTAAATTCATTATTCCATGGCAGAATTACATTAAACAACATCCCAGAGGTTGAAATGTAAATCAGAAAGGCAACTTCTCATTTTTCAATAAGATATATCGCCACCGATTAAGAGGAATAATAAAGTCAGCTTCACTTATTCTTTCTCTAAGTGGACATTCCTGGGAAGTCAAGTTATAATTAGAAGATTAAAACATAGAAAGAAAAAATATATAGTAATATATCTTTGTAACTATAAATGGAATTATATTCAAATGTATTGATACATCAACATCTTCAAGAGATATGTCCTTGTAGATTGTTTTACCATATTTTTATATTCCTGGAGAATTCCTTGATAGGCTCTGCTAACGTGTACTTTTACAATCTTTACTTTTCTGTGCTTCTACAGTTTATTTACCACAACTCTAAATAATGTATTATATAATTACCTTTAGTAGATAATATATTATATAATTACCTTTAGTAGAATTTTATCTAAACTAAAATACATTCAATGAGGTTTGCATATCCTGTTATTTTGTTTAGTTAATTGATTGATGTCTTGTCTTGTACTGGAAAACAATTAAGGATAGTGTTTTATATAGATTTTAAATATGGATATTATTGCTTAACATTCAGAATTACTTCTCTATTCATTATTGCCAACTTTCTGGAAATGAGCGGTTATTTTGCATTTATTTAAACCAACAATGAGGTGCTAAATGAAAAGAAAGAATTTTCTTAAAACATCATGTAGAAGTTGCAAGTAACAAACTCCATCTATTGTGTAAAATAATTATTGTTAGTGACAATTATGGTTCAAATTCTCCTGAAAAGTTACTTCTTTAGAGTTTAGTTATTCTAGTTGGTAGAAAGAGCTACAGAGCCTCCATCATCTGCACATATCGCTATTAGTTTGGTGCAAAAGTCATTGCTGTTTTTTGCCATTGAAAGTAATGGCAAAAACCGCAATGACTTTTGCACCAAACTAATAGACATTTGTACAATTCAAACCCCTTTCAAATGTAGCCAATAACATATTTTAACACCTTTTTACATAATGATATCTAAATGCTCTAAATATTTGGCCCCGAAAATAAAATTTATGCTTCCTTCTAAAAACCAAACCAAATTTTCTGCTGGAGTTGAAGGATATGGTACCCGCTCACATGCTGTAACTGAAGATCTTTGCATCTTTGCCTTGTGAGAGCCATGATCCTATCACATAATCACTATAGGAAAAACAGAAACGAATCCTATAAATTAGGATTATTGAAAAATAAAAGTAAAAGCAGGTCCCACACATGACATGATATACAGGAATATTCACTATCATGCAGACTTCTGCCAACGGAACATCACATGTTTTCCTCTCCTAACATGAACTAAATCACATACTACCCATATGCCATCATGTTTTATGTTCTGGCTGTTCAGTTCAATAAAGATCTTGAAAACCCACCTATCTGTAGTAAACCACATGGGCTCCTATACCATTTACTTAAGTACTATAAAAATACAGCATGATCATTCTGAATTATATTTATGAACCTACCCTAACCAATGCAGAATTGGACATTTTAAATATATTATGTATTATATATTATGTAATATCTTGCTAATGACCCTAAAATATCATGCTGAATAGTTCTCTGTGGGTTATATAGCAATTTAGAAAGATGATATAAAAATATTTGTGAATATTCAATACTTATTCCATTTATTTATTGTTCCGAGAATTTATCTTTTACCTCAGAGGAAACTTAGGCTCAATTTCTTCTTTCATGTTAATGGAAACTTTTGTCAATCTTCAACATCACAATACCCTTATTTTCCTTTTCCACCTTTCAGTTTAATAGTTAATTTTCAGGCAAGAAATTGCACGCTGATGTAAGACAAAATATAAGAATGTTGTTTCTATGAATATCATTATTTAAACAAGTAATGCGAAGCATAGCAAATATTTAGATTAGTCACATTAGTCCATTTTTCTCCAAATCTTTCATATTTTTTCTCCTGAATACTCCTCCCCAAATAAATTTAAAAATTTGCCTCTGATATTTTTAAGCAAACATTAGTCACAAAATTCCATTGCTATATCTTGGAATTACTGCACACTACAACTTAATGTTTAATTACCCATGCAATAAACCAAAGCTTCTTGTATTCACTTGGGCCACCATAACAAAATACCATAAACTGGATGACGTAAGCAAGACATTTTTTTCTCACAATTCGGGAGGCTAGAAGTCCAAGATTAGAGTACCAGCATGATCATGTTCTGTGAGGGATCCATTCCATCCATATCTAGATTGCAGACTGCTGCCTTCTCTCTGTGTCTTCATATGGTGGAGAGAGAGAGCTCTGATATCCTTTTTCACTTCTTATAAGGGCACCAGTTCTATTTGTTCAGGGCTCCACACTTATGAACTCAGTTATCTGTAATGACATCCTTAAAGGCCTTATCTCTAATATCAGATAGGTTGTCAGTACTTCAACATATGAATTTTAAGGAGACACAAGTTAATTAATAGCACTTTGTTTCAGCCTCTTAAAATGTGTGTTCTTCTCACATGCAAAATACTTTCATTCTATCCCAACAGCCCCACAGTCTTAACCCATTCCAGCACCCACTCTAAAGTCCAAGTCTAAAGTCTCATCTAAATTTGTATGATCTAAATCAGATATGGGTGACATTCAGGGTATGATTCATCCTAAGGCACAATTCAATTCCTCTCCAGATATGAATATGTGAAAAAAGACAAGTTATGGATTTCCAAAATATAATGATGGGACAGGAATAGGATAGATATTCCTATTTCAAAAGGGAGAAATAGAAAAGAAATAAGACATTATGTGTTTCAATCAAGTTCAAAACCTAGCAAGGCAAATTTTATTAGATCTTAAGTTTCGAGGAGGATAGCCATCTTTGTCTCAATGTCTTACCCTCCAGGCCCACTAATGCAGCAGTCCCACCTTCTGGACCCATTGTCATGGTGATCCTGGCCCCATAGCTCTGCAGGGTGAAGGTTGAGACTCTGAGGCTCTGCTGGGTAGTCCTACTCCTCACAGCTCTGCAGGGGAATTCTGCCTCAAGGCTTTAGGTGAATACCATTGGCCTGTTGACACTGAGGCAGTAGCCCCACTCATTGAAATCAAGGAGACAGTTCTGATGATCTCAGAATCACCTTTGGGGTCATAGTTCACTTATCAAAAAATAGCACATGTTTGCAGCCAAGTCACTCTATGGTCCTGTCTTGTAGAAGCCAAGAAGTCTGCCAGTCTTCCTTCATTCCAGCTCACTTTCTCTTTCTCCTTTACTTCAAACTGGCAGTGTCTGTGCTGATATAATCCCATCTCTATTCCTGGCTTTCAGTGACACGCTGTTTATGTTCCTGAGTCACTCTCATGATCTCTTTATAAAATGGTTGCTCAGCCACGTCCTTAGTGTTCTCTTTAGAACAAGCTTTCTCATTTTTTGCAAGGTAGGTATGCTGAGAATTTTTCATATCTCCAAGTCCTAGTTTCTTTTTGCTTAATAATTAATTATCCAATCAATTGCCCTCTTCTTGCATTTTACTGTAAGCTGTCAGAAGGAACAAAGCCACTCCCTCAATAATTTGTTTAGAGATCTCCTCAGCTATATATCCAATTTCATCTCTAACAAGTTCTACCTTCCACAAAACATTAAAGAACAAGTCAGTCAAGTCCTTTGCCCCTTTATTACAAAGATTGCTTTTCCTTGTTTCCAATAACATGTTTCTCATTTCTGTCTGAAACCTGACGAGAATGTCCCTTAATGTCCATAGGTCACTCATATTCAATTCATGATTATTTACATATTCTTTAAGAAGCTGTCTCTCCAACCCTTGTCTTTTCTTTCTGAACCCTCATAAGAATGTCCTTTAAAGTCCATATTTCTAGAATGCACTTCAAAAATTCTTCCAGCCTTTACCCATCATTCAATTCCAAAACTGCTACCACATTTAAGTATTTGTTACAACAGCACCCCACTTCTTCTTACTAAAATCTGTCTTAGTCTGCTCAGGCTACCATAACAAAATTCCATAAAGTGGGTAGCTAAAAACAACACAAATTTATTTTCTCTCCCCCAGTTTTGGAGGCTGGAAATCTTAGATCAGGGTGCTAATATGGCTGGGTCCTTGTGAGTACACTCTTCCTTGCTTGCTGATGACAAAAACTCATGAATTTTACTGGAAAGATTCCCAAGCAGAATATACAAAGTTTAAATGCTTATTCTAACTTCCTATGTTAAAATATGAGACACAAGATATTTGCTAAGGGAAGAATTGTCAGTTTTTAGCAGAGCTTACAGGAAATATAAAAGAGCCAGAATTTTCTAGATTAAAATAAAACTGTTTCTAAGACCCAGTCCCTCTAGATGGCAAAA
This sequence comes from Homo sapiens, assembly GCF_000001405.40. Taxonomy (NCBI): domain Eukaryota; kingdom Metazoa; phylum Chordata; class Mammalia; order Primates; family Hominidae; genus Homo; species Homo sapiens. The sequence goes on along the minus strand of NC_000002.12, from coordinate 193,987,637 downwards.
GATTGTAAAATAAGAAATACACTCAAGGCAAACATAAAATCCAGGACACATTTTATATAGTATGGGGCTAGATAAATATTTCAAGGATACAGTTTCAAGATTCTTTGTTGCCATCTCAGATAAATATTAAGGAAATGCCCATTAGAACTGTAAAGATTCTTATTGTCATTGTTCCACAGTATGTGACTCAGTCAAAGCAGATATATATATATATATATATATATATATATATATATATATATATATATACATATGTTTTCAGAAACATTATTTGGTTTGAAAGACTGATTAATGAAAATCACCCTCAATTCCTCAACCTTTAAAATTTTAATATACAGGAAATAGGCTGAGAAAATACTCAGACCATCTGCAAACACAGACCATCTTTATGGAAAAGAAAAGATAATTCAGGGACTGTAGCCAAGACCCCATAATATGAAGTTACAAGCAATAACGAACTACATCCATAAAGTAGAATAAGCCCCTAATCAAGGAACCAGCATTGTGTACTCTGGTGAATTTCAGAATTGATATGGATCAATTATTGTTCTCTTCTTCCTATATCCCCCTGTTCATGACAGTAGTGCCTCTCTATGTTCATTCATTGTGTGCTGTGTATGTCAGTAGCAAATATCTTGTCTATTTACATCATAAGTTTTCTAAAGGACAGATGTTGTACTTGATGAACCCCAGTCAAGAAGATTCATCTGCACCTAGACCTGATTTAGAAGGTGAGAATCTGGAATTTGAGTCAACCTCCTAAAAACGTGAGACTTCAGGAGTCTTTGAAGAGTGTCTTAATCAGCTTGGGTTGCCATAACAATATAAAATGGGGTGGATGTAACAACGAAAATGTATATTTCATAGTACTGCTAGAAGTATTAGCTTAGGCTGCCAGCATGGTATGTTTATGGTGAGGGACCTCTTCCTGGATTGCAGATGGCAGGCTTCTCACTGTGTTCTTATATGGTGGAGACAGCAAGCTCTTGTGTTTCTTCTTCTAATAAGAATAATAATTATTCCATCATGAAAACCCCACCCTCATGACCACATCTATTTCCCAAGGACCTCTTTTCCAAATACAACCACACTGGAGGTTGAGGCTTCAACCTATGAATTGGGGAGAGACACAATTCAGTCCATAGTAAAGGGGGTGAGTATATTTTATATGTGGAAAAATGTAAATGTTTTGTGACTAGATATTGGACTGTGGTAGATTAAAAATGTCCACAAATTCTTTGATACTTCTTCATAAAAAATTAAGGTCTATTTTCCCTTCTTTTATTACTACTTTGAATAAATATATTCCAGATCTAGTCCTTTAGAGGACTACAAACTCTTTCTTTTTACTTTAGAGTTCTGAGCCACCAGATAATTCAGACTATCCTGCTGGAAAGGACATTTGATGAGGCAATGATACTACCAGGAGATGGAAAGGAGCTTAGCTGAGCCTAGCCTTCCAGAACTCCCAGCATGAATCAAACATGAGTGATGCTATCTTAGACTCTTTACCCAACTGACAGCTGAAATCTACTGTGTGACCCTGTAGCTACCATATACAGGAAAATAGATCTGGTGAGACTTGTCTGAATTACTCACCTACAACAATACTAGATGTAGTGAAATCATTATTATTTTAATCCATCACATCTTTGGGTTGTTGGTTAAGAAGCAGAAGATAACCAACACAAAGCCGATACTACCACACTTCTTGTATTCCCATAGTTTACAGCAGACATTTTCTTTAGAGATTCAAGTGGGTCTGAACCAACAAAGAAACACATATTGGTTTAATTATCAAATTAAGTAAGATGCGTAGGAGAGGGGTCACATTTTTTTCTTTCTATAATTGAGTCATAAATTGTAGAGAGCCTGAAGAATCCCTTTTATTTTATTATTTCATTTTATTATACTTTCATATGGTCTACATTGTATTAACTACATTTCTAAATTCACACATAAAATTATCTATAAGTATACATTAGTTTCACTTATTTGCTATGTTTGGTGTTGATTTTCATTTCCAGTCTGAAATTGAGAATGCTGATTTAACAACCTGCCCATATATAAAAAAAAATTGTTCTATATGATAGAACCTGCTGGGAACAATTTCTTGGATCGCATCACGAATGTTGTCAATGATGAAATGTGGAGACTGTGACAGATGGAACACACAATCACTAAAAGGCATTCTTACAATTTAAAATTGCATGTTTGCACTCCAATCCTACTATTAGATGAGAAAGTGAAGATTTTTGCTTCTGGATCTTGAGTATAACACATCACTTAATTCTATGTTGTTGATTATTTTTAAGAATCTATGCCCACACAAAAGCATTGTATTCAACATATTTTTAAAAGGTACTATTATTTGTCTTTATGACTCCATCTGGTTTAATAAGAACTGTAATGACAATACCTGTAGAGAACATTCGAGGAAGTGAAAATATCAGCCTGGCTTCCAGCATTTCCCATGGATATGTCATGCAAAGCAGATGGCCTGAAGTCATTTGATATTATTTACTATCCTTATTAAAATTTGTATGAAATTTCACCAGCAATTTAGTCTATCATGTTAAAATATGTATATTTATTTAATCATAATGAACCAAATCTTTCACTTAAGCATTTCCCAACTTCTTCCATATATTGCTTACAGATGTCAGAAGAACAACTGAATTTAAGAAATCCTGGTTAAAAAATAAACCATAATTTTAACCTCAGATTTCTCATAGATGATATTAGGCTACTAATCATCTAATCATTGTGAATTTCCCAAGGGGCTATAAAATAACAGTGTATTCCAAGGTTATTGGATCTTGGGGCAACTAATTCATGCAACATCTTTTGCAACTAGAATCTTTGAGTGTTGACATTCATTTAAAATTTCCTGTAATTATTGAAAATAATTATAATCAAAGCTATAAAATATAGGATGAATCAATGTTAGGAGAATCCCAAATTCTAGAACCAAATTATAATCTATAGTGAGAAAAACTTGGCAGTCTTCCACACTCCATGCCATCTAAAAGTGCTATGCTACATATGACATATGCTCCTCTTGGAAAGGGAAAGAATAAGGAGGAATGGCTTTATTTGTGAGCTACTTCACCTGGCCATCGGTTCATGATTGGCTTTTCTTTTCTACCTCAGGACACTTTATATTATGGACACAGCAAGTTGCTGCACAGGGAAAATGTTACAATAACCCAAAAATGAGCAGTGAATTGCCCTCAAGTGGAGAGTCTCAGCAGAGTAGCTGCCAGATGTCAGGCTCACTGCAGTTAAACTGTGGGAACTTCTATATTTCCACATTTGTAATTTGTGGTTCCAATACACGTGGAGTTCTATTTCCACATACTGCACAAGAAATCATTTGTACCAAACATAATCTCATGAATGGGGTTGATATTCTTCAGGAGTATTTTTATAGTTACTTGATAATAGAATTTTCAATATGAAAAGGAAAAGCTTTTTAAAAATTAATACCAAAATTTTAGATTATATAAAATAATGCTTTCTGTCCTCTTGAAATATGACCCCTTAACTCCATAGTTAGGTGTGATTTAGTGTTAGAAATAGATGCTTTTCCTTCACTTTTACTTGCTACACTCTTGCGATTTAAAATAAAACTTATTTAAAGGACATTTAATTCAAATAAAAAGAGATATTTTGGATATCATTGCCGAATCTCTTTTATTAGAAAAAGTATAGGTAGACAATAATCATTAATACAGTTTCTAAATTCTCAAAGAACCATTTGAGGGAACTACCCTAACATTTGGGGGTAATAACCTAAAATAGATTAAAGCCTGTTTTTATAAATGAATAAATAAGTTCTAAAAAAATTTGACCTCAAAAGCTTTGTATTCATTAGTTAAAAGGCAATGATAATAACTAATTTTAAAAAGCAGTATTCAATTGGAATATGCATTACCTATATGCAACAAAAACACATTCTAGACTCTAGAAATATAATCAAAAGTCTATATTCTGAAAGCTAGCAAAGATTTCTTTGTATTTTTTAAACAGCTTATGTTTTCCACAATTAAATAGAACAGCTTAGATACAACAAGCGAAGAGTTGTTAAACTCGTTATTTTGACTTTGCTTCTGTACCATTTGCTTCTATGACAACTAAAAAATGATTGAAAATAAGCTAAACTTTTGGGTCCTACAAGTAGCACATAGAAGCTTCTTTACTTAAAATAATCAGAAGCTGTGAAAATATGTCTGGGAGTATAATTTCACTACAATTTAATTGACCTGTTTTCACTATTAGACCCCCTATTTTGCAATGAAAAGCTCCTAATCCAGAGAATAAGGCATTTTGAATATAATCACGAGAAGGCGGATCATTTCTTTATTTTGGAAAATAAAAGATCACTTATAAATAGTCTGGACTAACAAGAATGATTTTCTTCTCAAACGTCAACAACAACAGGTAAGGCATAACTAAGTCAGTAAGTATTACAAACATTATGTTCAACATTCATTTACTTAGATTTTTTAATTATTATTAAAATATTTTGTTGTACTTTTGTTCCAGGGAAAGAGAAAGACAGTTAATATGTGAGGATCAACTAAGCTGAAGATTGGCAGGAGTGTGTCTCTCTCTGACTTTGAATTTGCACAGTCAGTCTCAGTGGCAACCAAACATCACCAGGGCCCTGCATTGCCATCTGCCATGCCTGTTTCCTTCTAGGCGTTAAACTTGGGTAACAGAAGTAAGGCAGATTTTTCATTTTACTTTGCATGACACTTTGGGCTCGAGTGAAGTGATTTCATAATAATTTAATATTTTAGTCTAAAAATAGACTATTAATTTTATCAAATAATATTAGCTGACACAATATATTTAAAGTAATTTACATTTTAGTGTAAATGTTATACACAATTCATTTAAATTTTTGTTTTTTTTAATAAATTAAGCCAGCAATCATTTACCATAAATAATATAAATATCACATAAGTATTTGAAAGAAAGGAAAATATCTACCCATAATTTTATTTTCCTTTCCTATAGACAAAAGACTTTATGATATTCATCAAAGGTATAAGGTTCATGGCAAGACTAGTGACTTAACCACAGAAGCATGATCCTTATTGATTGGTTCATTCATTCATTCATTCATTCTTTCATTCATGTGTCTATTTGTTCAGCCATTTGACTGATATTTATTTGCTACTTTCTAGATGCCAGAAAAAATTTTGGTACTGGACATAAAATGAATACAACCTGTTAAGCAAAAGAGATGTCCTTATGAAGTTTATCTGGCCATACTCTTCTAAAACATGAAAAAAATATATAGGAGCAAAGCCCACAGGGATGCCATAACTTCCATGGGAATGTTGAATAGAAGTGATGAGAAAAGAATTCTTACCTTGTTCTTAATCTTAGGAGGAACACATTCATTCTTTCATTATTAAGCCTGATAATTTCTGAAGATGTCTGTATGAGGTTAAATAAATCAATTTCTATTTTGTGAAGATTTGTATGTGGAATCGATGTATGATTCTTTTGATGCTTTTTCTGAATATATGTAGATGATAATATAATTAAAAATATTAATATGGTAAATTCCATTGATGGATTTTCATATGCTAAATGATCCCTTTATCCCTAGAAAGGCTTCATCAAAATATTTTATACTTTTTATATATTATTAAACTCAAAAATGCTAATTTTTAAATAAATTTTACACTATGTTTATGACTTGTGAAATATTCTTTTATTATAATAAATTTTCTGGTTTTACTATTAGGGTAAAACCTGCTTCTTAAAAGGAGTGGGGTAGAATTAATTCATTTTCAATTTTCTCAATCTTTTTTTAGTATAACTACTATTATTGCTTCTTGAAAAATTTGGTAGATTTTACCACTGAAGCAATCTGGGGCAGAAGATACCTTTGTCGGAAGGTTTTAAATAAATTTACTATATGACCTTTCAGGTTATTTATATCATCTTATGTAAATTTTAATAGGTTGTATCTTTCAAAGTACAGCATTTATCTATTTAACCTAAGTTGTCCAACTTTTAGGCATACAGTTGTTCATAATTTTATCTTATTATTCTTTTAATATATGTAGAGTTTTTAGTAATGTCACCTCCTAGCTCTTAACTGGTCTTGGCCACTTTTGCTCTTCCATTTTCATAGTTAGTCTGGTTGAAATTGTATCATTTTTACTGATTTTTTTTTCCCAAAGAGTCAGGTTTTATACACACTTTTGTTTTATATTTTGCTGTATTCTGCTTGGTTTATTATATTATTTCTTCCAATTATTTTCTGTTCCTGTTGTTTTCTACTTCTTTCTCCTTTTTTTAAAACACAGAAGCTGATATTATTGATTTGAGACTATTTTTTAAATTTTTTTGTAGGCATCTCAGACTATAATATCCCCCTAAGTAATGTTTCAATGCCATTTCAAAACTTCTGATATGTAGTATTTCTATTCAGTTCAAAATACTTCAGGTTTTTCCTTTTACTCATGGGTACCTAATTAAAGTTCATTATTTGATTTCCAAATATTTGTGGTTTTTCCAAAGACACCTTTGTTATTGGTTTCTAATGAATTTAGTTGGAGTCAGATAAAATATTTGTAAGAACTGAATCATTCAAATTTATTGAGATTTGTTTTATAACCCAGAATATTTTCTACCTTGATGATTGTTCCACCTGCAATTGATAACAATATATATTCTGTTGTTGTTAGGTGGAATGTTCAACGAATGTCAGCTTGATTAAATTGGTCAATAGTAATCTAATTGTTATGGAAACACCAGAGGTTCCGTCTAGGTCCTGCTGCTCACCGCGGAGAAAGCCAGTTACTGAGACAATGAGTATTGCCAAGAAAGAAGGCTTTAATTGGGTGTTGCAGCCAAGGAGATGGGAGATCAGTCTCAAATCAATCTCCCTGACCCACTAAAACTAGGGGTTTTAATCAGCAGGGAAGAAATGTAACAATGTGTAAGAAAACAGGAACCCAGGAGGCCTAAGGAAGCAATCATAATGAATGAGGGGTCTGGCATCTAATTGTCTGGAAGTGGTGATCTGGTGAATTTTAGTTCTTTGCCACTTTTTTTGAGAGGTATGAAGGTTGGTTGTTTTCTGAGAAAAGAACTCAGATAAAACAAATATAAATTTCAAACTTTAAGACCAGAAGGGTCAATTTCTACATTTGCAACAAAAGGTCTATGAGATATTTGGGTAGGTTTCATATTCAACTATGTTCCTGTTGATTTTCTGTCTGTTCTACCAATTATTGAAAGAGGTCTATTTAAATCTTTGGATATAATTATTAATTCCTCTAGTTCTTCTAGCAGTTCCATCATCTTTTCCTTTAAGTTATTTCAAATTCTCTTACTGAAGGCACACATATTTAAGATTTTTATGTCCTTTTGATAAATTAATCCTTTTATCCTTAAAAAATTATCATGTTTATTCCAGGTAATAGTCTTTGTTCTGATACCTATTTATTTACTTGAATAGCTTCTTCCTCTACTGAATTATTTTTGTCCATCTATCAAAATTTGTTAATCATATTTGTGTAGGTCTATTTTAGAGTTGTTCATTCCGTTTCTTAGATTAAGTTTGTCCTTCCATCAATACCACACTATCTTGATTAATGTAGCTACATTGTAAGCCTTAACATAATTTTAAGATAATTCCCCCCACAGTATTTTCTTTGTCAAGATTGTTTTGGCTATTGGAGGGTATATGCATTGCCATAAAAATTATATAAACTTTTTTATGTCTATACAATCCTTGCTTGGCTTTTAATAGAAATTGTATTAAAATCTGAAAAAGATCAGTTTGAAAAAAAGTAACATGTTTACTCTGTTGAGTCTTCCAATGCTTTTTTTTTTCCAACAGATTTTTTTTAATGGAACTTGAACAAGCTGATTCTAAAATTTACATGTAAATACAAAAGGTCAAAACAACTGAGATGCTCTTGAAGAAAAAACATTTGAACATGATATGTCTCTACATGTGTTTAGGTTTTTGATTCCTTTGATCAGCACTTTGTAATTTTCAGCGAACAGATACTGTACATATTTTGTTGTGTCTACTGAAATGTTTATTTTTTTCAAGCAATTGGGGATATTACTGTACTTCTTAATAGCTATAATACAGAAATAATGCATATTTATGTGTTGATCTCATATATTGTATTTTGAAGGCTACCCGACTCACTTTTTGGTTGCAGGAGTACGGTTTTCTCTTTTTGTCTTTTTTGGTTTGTTTTTATTTTTTTTAAAGTTATTTTGTTTATTGTACTTTAAGTTCTGAGGTACACGTGCAGAATATGCAGGTTTGTTACATAGGTATACACGTGTCATGGTGGTTTCCTGCACTCATCAACCCCTCACCTACATTAGGTATTTCTCCTAATGCTATCCTCCCCTAGCCCCCCACCCCCTGACAGGCCCCTGTGTGTGATGTTCCCCTCCCCATGTCCATGTGTTCTCCTTGTTCAACTCCCACTTATGAATGAAAATCTGCGGTGTTTGGTTTTCTGTTCTTGTGATAGTTTGCTGAGAATGATGGTTTCCAGCTTCATCCTTGTCCCTGCAAAGTACATGAACTCATTCTTTTTTATGGCTGCATAGTATTCCATGGTGTATATATGCCACATTTTCTTCATCCAGTCTATGATTGTTGGGCATTTGGGTTGGTTCCAAGTCTTTGCTATTGTGAATAGTGCTGCACTAAACATATGTGTGCATGTGTCTTTATAGTAGAATGATTTGTAATCTTTTGGGTATATACCCAATAATGAGATTGCTGGGTCAACTGGTTCTAGTTCTAGATTCTTGAGGAATTGCCACACTGTCTTCCACAATGGTTGAACTAATTTACACTCCCACCAACAGTGTAATACCATTCCTATTTTTCCACATCCTCTCCAGCATCTGTTGTTTCCTGACTTTTTAATGATTGCCATTCTAACTGGCATGAGATGGTATCTCATTGTGATTTTGATTTGCATTTCTCTAATGACCAGTGATGATGAGCATTTTTTCATATGTTTGTTGGCTGCATAAATGTCTTCTTTTGAGAAGTGTGTCTTCATATACTTGCCCATTTTTTGATTTTTTTTTTCTTGTAAATTTGTTTAAGTTCTTTGTAGATTCTGGATATTAGCCCCTTGTCAGATGGATAGATTACAAAAATTTTCTCCCATTCTGTAGGTTGCTTGTTCACTCTGATGATAGTTTCTTTTGCTGTGCAGAAGCTCTTTAGTTTAATTAGATCCCATTTGCCAATTTTGGCTTTTGTTTCCATTGCTTTTAGTGTTTTAGACATGAAGTCTTTGCCCATCCCTGTGTCCTGAATGGTATTGCCCAGGTTTTCTTATAGAATTTTTATGGTTTTACATCTTATGTTTAAGTCTTTAATCCATCTTGAGTAGATTTTTGTATAAGGTGTAACGAAAGGGTCCAGTTTCAGTTTTCTGCATATGGCTAGCCAGTTTTCCCAGCACCATTTATTATATAGGGAATCTTTTCCCGATTGCTTGTGTCAGGTTTGTCAAAGATCAGTTGGTTGTAGATGTGTGGTGTTATTTCTGAGACCTCCGTTCTGTTCCATTAGTCTATATATCTGTTTTGGTACCAGTACCATGCTGTTTTGTTTATGGTAGCCTTGTAGTATAGTTTGAAGTCAGGTAGCGTGATGCCTCCAGCTTTGTTCTTTTGGCTTAGGATTGTCTTGGCTATATGGACTCTTATTTGGTTCCATATAAAGTTTAAAGTAGGCTTTTCCAATTCTGTGAAGAAAGTCAGTGGTAGCTCGATGGGGATAGCAATGAATCTATAAATTACTTTGGACAGTATGGCCATTTTCATGATATTAATTTTTCCTATCTATGAGCATGGAATGTTTTTCCATTTGTTTGTGTCCTCTCTTATTTCCTTGAGTAGTGGTTTGTAGTTCTCCTTGAAGAGGTCCTTCACATCCCTTGTAAGTTGGAATCCTAGGTATTTTATTCTCTTTATAGCAATAGTGAATCGGAGTTCACTCATGATTTGGCTCTCTGTTTGTCTGTTATTGATGTATAGAAATGATTGTGATTTTTGCACATTGATTTTGTATCCTGAGACTTTGCTGAAGTTGCTTATTAGCTTGAGGAGATTTTGGGCTGAGACAATGGCATTTTCTAAATATACAATCATGTCATCTGTAAACAGAGACAGTATGACTTCCTCTCTTCCTATTTGAATACCCTTTATTTCTTTCTCTTGCCTGATTTCCGTGGCCAGAAATTTCAATACTGTGTTCAATAGGAGGGGTGAGAGAGTGCATCACTGTCTTGTGCTGGTTTTCAAAAGGAATACTTCCAGTTTTTGCCCATTCAGTATGATATTGGCTGTGGGTTTGTCATAAATAGCTCTTATTATTTTGAGATACGTTCCATCGACACCTAGTTTATTGAGCGTTTTTAGCATGAAGGGCTGTTGAATTTTGTCGAAGGCCTTTTCAGCATCTATTGAGATAATCATGTGGTTTTTGCCATTGGTTTTGTTTATGTAATGGATTACGTTTATTGATTTGTGTATGTTGAACCAGCCTTGCATCCCAGGTATGAAGCCAACTTGATCGTGGTGGATAAGCTTTTCCAGGCTAGCTAGATATCTCTACCTGAGAGCTTCCCTGGTGCTAATGTTTAGCAGAGTCTATTAATCCTCTGTTTCACCTGGTGTTGCAGAGGGTGTCATGGTGGAATCAGGGGAGGAATCAGCCTATATTGCCGCCTTTTGTTGCTAAGTTGGGGACAGGAAGTGCCATGTCAGGGTTTCTTTCTTCGGGTTTGCAAGGGCATGTAAAAACCTTCTGACACTAATCTTTCTTCAGTCCTACAGTGGCCTGCCTTACTGCCTTTCAGATTTCTCATTTGATTGTTTTTGTGTTATTTTCAGAGTTTATAATTGTACTAAATACTCTATATAGTATTGCCCAAACCACAAATAAGCATATATTTTTAAAGAAATTATGAGGTAGTTGAGTTGATATGAAACTTTCCTCTGTCCATTGATTGGGTTTATACAACTTTATACAAAAAGTATAATGATATAATCAACAAGGACTTGAAGAGCTTGCTATTAGTAAGTCTAATACAGACACTTTACTTTTCAATTTGAAAAAGATAGAGGATTTTCCACAAAAATACCAGATATACTTTATTATCACATTGCTTTCATCAATTACCTCCTTCTGGTGTTTTTTAATTGTGTAGTAAACATCTAATTTTAAGTGTGAATTGCCTTTCGTTTGGTAACTCAATGAAAATTTTGCTTACATTTTCAATTAGGATGATCACATTTAATGTTAAGAATTGATAGTTAATTTCTTATATTTCTTACTATCCAACCTGGATGAATGAATAATTTTGAAATAGTTGTCCTTTTTGAAATGAAGTCTAAATTGCAAAGACTGTAATGATTTACCATTATTGTAGAGTACAGCAAAATACAACTTGAATAAGCAAAGACAAATAACTATTCTGCTCAATGATGAGAGTGTACTACAGATTTGCTGCTTTTGGTTTAAGTAATAAATATATGCCACAAACTGACTTATAGCAAATGAAAGAGGTTTATAAAATATTTTTAATTAAGACACTTTAACTTTTTTATTACAAGACCACAACTGAAGGAAAGATGAAGTTTTCTTAAAGGTCGAAACAGTGCAGATATGAAAATGACCTGCTTTGTTTAAGAAAACTATTATTTTTTTAAAGATGCTATTTATGATATAGGACCTCTTATTTATATAATTTTTGCCATGCTGTTCTCAACTAAAATGCAAAGAGGTATGGTTAGAAAATTAGTCAAAGTTCATGAAGAATAGCAAGCCATGTTTGGAAAACTATATGTCATAGACTTCACGAAACTAAAAGGTTTTCACAATGTTTCTCTTTGAAGTTCTTCTTACCATAAAGTGTCAAAAAGGTACTCCTGCAAAAGATTCTCACTGAAGGAAATTGTATAGTATTATACTTTTATGTATCCAAGACTAATGTTATTAATTTATTTGTTAATTTATTTTTATGGATTTCATTAAATCAAAATGAATTATTTGTAAATTTCAAATAACGTTTCTCTGGGGGAATGTTTTCTAACAAAATATGTTGTTAATAAAGCGACTGTGTCATTTTATATTCAGGTTTGCCAGTATTTTTCCAGCTAGTTTTTTTCTTCAGTGTAGAAATTTATTAATTTATACAACACCCCTGCCTTAGTAATAATCACAAGTTCACAGCATTTATTTCCTTACAAATGTTTTACATACACCAGTGAACACATAGATTATTTCAAATAATTACAACTGCTTTCAGCTTGGCTACAACACTTCTGTGATTCAGTGTGATTTGATAACATTGTCAGTTACTGGTAATCAACAAAAAAATTGGTTTACATTGGATTGTAAAATTAATATGTGAAAACCAAAACTAAGCAAAATTAAAATGGGATACATAAACATTGAATTGTTAGTGTCTTTAATTATCATTTTTACATATCATAAAATTTCAATGCAAAATTAGAACATTATAAGGTCATGGAAAGGTTTGAAGTAGCCTTACCAAAGTACATGGGATGATATTGTTTTTCTTCTTATCATTTTTATAGGCATATAAGTATTTTCAAAAGACCAAAGATGAAATGTATAACTAAAAAGAGGCAAACATGGCATTATGCTCAGAAGTTGACTGTGAGATAGCCAATCATCTCAAAGCAAAGAATGACACTCCCTGTGCCTGTAAAATAGGAAGTCAGAGTTCCCTTGAAAACTTCATTTTTTCCTATATATTAAAAAAAAAATCAGGATGGTAAAATACCACTGGCATTAACAAAACAGAACATTCATGATCACATGAACAAGAATATGCATACTCACTTTAACAAGAAAAATCACTTTAATATGGCACACAATATATATATTTCTATTTCATAAATTAACAATAATGTGTAACAAACCGGTTATGTCAAAACATCATTTTTTAAATCTAATATACTGATATATTCACCAATTATCCTATTTGCCTCAGAAATTGTCTGCATTTGGTACTTACTGTTTAATGGTTTTATTTTTCTAATAATATGAATAGAAATACGAGCCAAAATCCGTGTGTTTGGATTCTAGCTCCGCCACTTACTGCGTGACCTTAGGCATGGTACTTACTAATGAACCTATGTGTAGGGTTTTTTTATGTACAAAAGTGGATAATAATAGTATATAATTCATAAGATTGCTATGGAAATTATGACATATATTAAGAGCTTAATACATATTTTTATTGTTAATTACTGTAATATTTGTGAGCAGTATATAATACATGGAGATCTCAGTCACTGTTTTGGGAAGAATGCCTTACAAGTATTATTTTAAGCATGTAAAGCTTTTTAGGGGCTAATCATAAATGTTGTTATCCAATAAGAAATAAAGTTTGAAAATTTCAACAAAAATTACTGATTATTTTTAGATAATCTCCTCGCATTAGTTCGTTTTCATGCTGCTGATAAAGACATACCCAAGACTGGACAAATTACAAAAGAAAGAGGCTTATCGGACTTACAGTTCCACATGGCTGGGGAGGCCTCACAGTAACGGCAGAAGGTAAGGAGGAGCCAGTCACACCCTGGGTAAGTGGCAGCAGGCAAAGAGAGCTTGTATAGGCAAACTCCCATTTTTAAAGCCATCAGATCTGGTGAGACTTACTCACTGTCACGAGAACAGCATCTGAAAGAACCTCCCCCATGATTCAGTCATCTCCCACCGGGTCCCTCCCACAACATATGGAAATAATGTAAGCTACAAAATGAGAATTGGGTAGGGACCCAGAGTCACACCATGTCACTCCTCAATAATTTCACATCATGTAACTTGAATTGTATCAGCTTATACTTGTTTTTGAGCTCTAATGTGAGTATTTTGGCTAGATCTACATGTACTAAAAAAGAACTGGGGCAGGGTCTACAAAACTATATGAATACACATGGTTCCGATGTCACAAAGATTTCACATTTTTAATTTTTACTTATCAGAACTCGGCACACCATATATTTGCTATAATGTGTCTCAGCTGATTTTCTTAATGTGCTTCCCCTAATAGAATTTACACCCAGTATTTGCAAAATCTAACTATGCTAGGCTTTAAATTTTAACGTGTAACGCAGCCTCACATATCACATTTTTAAAAATCTATACCCAGCATCTTCTCATTAGCTTGTATAATCAATATTGCATGACCTCAAATGCATATAATATCCAGTTAGCTACCACTGATTATGCTAAGGTTGGCCATTTCTTAAGTATGATTCCTGTTATGGTTTGGATATGGTTTGTTTGTCCCCACCAAAACTCATGTTGAAATTTGATCCTAATTTGGTGATCTTGCGAGAGGGGGCCTGGTGGGAGGTGTTGGTTCATGGGAGTGGATTACTAATAATTGGTTTGGTGCCGTTCTTACGGTGGTAAGCAAGTTATCACTCTGGCAAGACTAGATTAGTTCTTGTGGGAGTGGATTCGTTCCCTCTTGAGAGTGAGTTATTATAAAGCCAGGAGCTTCTCTTTTCATGAGGTTCGTGTCGGCTTCCCCTTTGAACTTCTCACTATGTTTTGACCTAAAACGTGGCTCTTTCTCTCACCAGATGCTGAACAGATGCCAGTGCAATGCTTTTGGTACTTCTCAGTCTGCAGAACTGTGAGTTAAATAAATCTATTTTCTTTATGAATTACCCAGCCTCAGGTATTCTGCTACAACAATACAAAACAAACTAGCACAATTTATTTACTGATTATTTTTTATAATAACACCATTGCTGGTCAGAGTTATCCTAAGTAATAGTTTAGAAGGTTTTAAAAACAGAGTCCAAAGTTGCTCCTTTGGTAAGATAATCTTTTATAAAAGTATGTGTAGTGATGCTATCAGCCTAATATTCTTTTCACTACAGCATAAAGTAGACAGTATTTAAGCACAAAGTAGTCCAGTTGGCCAAGGTTTAAAATTTTCCCCATGGTTGGAGTTGTATCTCAATGTTCCCCATTCTTGTACCATTTCTCTGAAAACTTTCTTGAGATAAACTATGTATGACAAATGAAAAATAACAAATCCAACCAAAATGCTTTTGAATGTTTCCAATTTTATTTTTAATACAAATGCACAACCGAGCCAATTGTCAAGCTGCAGATTTAATAAACTGCCTGTGCAAAAAGTATAATGATTGTTAGTAAATGTAAATTTAAAGAGGTCACTAGGACAGTCCTCAATCTATCTGTGGTGAAGGATACATTTTATTTTTCAATTTCTAATATGTTTAAAAATATTCTGTAAAATGCAATAAAATGACTTACAAAAAATAAAAATGTTAAAGAGATCAAATGCAAATCCAGATTATTAACATGAGAATCCATAGACGTAAAACAATATTCAGTAAATATACTCAGAATAAATATAACACAGGAGGAAAGAAACCATTACTAAAAAAGGATAGATTTTTATTGAAGATATGTGAAGATAGTATCATATAGAATCAAATTTATGTCTACAGCTTGTTTTGCACTTATAAAGAAATGAAAGTTATGAGTGAAGTAGTGATTTGCTGTATTTAATGCCTATATATGTAAACATTCAGCTTGTATTTTGCTTCTAAGATATATTTATATAGATTAGACTGATGATTATGAAATTCTCAAGGGGTAATATTTATCTAGATGGTTATTATGTTTTCTTTTATTATATTCATAGTAGAGAAACATATGTCACAGAAAGAAAATAAGAAGTGAAATAACATGAATTGATGAGAAAAAAGCAATTTTAAACATAACTTGACAATGCTTAGGTTAGTAATTTTTGTGTTATCTAAAATGATGCAAATAATTCTTTATTTAAGTTTTTAAAAATTAATCATAAGTTCTTTTTTAAAAGATGATTTTAGTGATGTATCTTGTAAATTTGTAATTAAAATTGATTTTTTAATAGAAATTATTCTGGATCCATGAATTTTTTATGCATAATCTTTTGATGAAAAAAAGAGAAATATTATACTCCAAATGTAAAGCAATTGGTAATAATTATATAGAGAACAAGCATCACTCATAACTTTATTTATAATTGTTAAATTATTGAACTTATCATTATGAATTATAGTAACCTTATTCTCTCAAGAGTCACTTCTCTTTTGGCCCTTTGAAAATACATTTTACTTCTGTCTTTTATAAAAATATTAAGATTATTTTCAGACAAAATATAAAATAAAATAATAGTTATGGAAGCCCAATTTACATTATTAAATACATGTGACCAAACTGTTTTTTTTTTTGTTTTGCCTACTGATATGATTTGCCCCTGTCCTCAGCCAAATCTCACCTTGAATTGTAGCTCCCAAAATTCCCATGTGTCATGGGAGGGACCCAGTGGTGGATAATTGAATCATGGGGATTGGTCTTTCTCCTGCTATTCCTGTGATAGTGAATAAGCCTCATGAGATCTGATGGTTTTAGAAAGGGAAATTCCCCTGTACAAGCTCTCTCTTGCTTGCCGCCCTGTAAGATGCTCCTTGCCCTTCCGCCATGATTGTGAGGCCTCCCCAGCCATGTGGAATTATGAGTCAATAAAACCTCTTTTTTAATAAGTTACCCAGTCTCAGGCATGTCTTTATCAGCAGTGTGAATATGGACTAATATACATACTCAATAAGAGTTCTTCATATAATTAAAACATTTTAAATAACTTTTCTGGACTGAGCTTTATAATAGGCTTTCATATTAACATGGAATAAGGAGATCATCTCAAATGTAACACATTGGGTTTTGTATGAATAACTGTTTTTACTTTGCCATTTGCCACATTATATAGTTCAACTGATATTTTTTCTTACCAAGAAATTCTCAGTGAAGGAAATAATGTGTTGATTTTTATTTTGGTACATCCTTCTTAATTTGAGTAACAATTATGCTTTCCTATCATTGTACTGCACCATTGTAACATAATTGCTACGGTTTAGCTCAAATTTGTCCAAGCAGGCAGCCTGTGGGCCACCTGTGTCCCAGGACAGCTTTGAATGCGGCCCAACACAAATTCATAAATTTTCTTAAAACATATTAAGACATTTTTTGCAATTTTTTTAGCTCATTACCTATGGTTAATGTTAGCGCATTTTAGGTGTGGGCCAAGACATTTATTTTTCTTCCACTGTGGCCCAGGGAAGCCAAAAGATTGGACACCCCTGATTTAGATCTTTGTTCTTTCAAAACCTCATGCTGAAATTAAATCCCCAATGTTGGAGGTAAGACCTAATGGGAGTTGCTTAAGTCATAGTGGTGGATCCCTCATGAATAGATTAATTCTATTTGTGGAATAGCTCCCCTTGCAGAATAAATAACTTCTCATTTTATTAGTTCCCTGGAGACCTGGTTGTTAAAACGAGGATGGCACCTCCCCTCCCACTCCATACTCTCTTTTCCTCTCTCGCCCTGTGATCTCTGCACAGAATGGCTCCCCTTCACCTTCTGCTATGAGTGGAACCCATCTGAGGCCCTCACCAGATGCTCAATCTTAAACTTTCCAGCCATTCGAATTGTGAGCCAAATCAGCCTTTTTTCATCATAAATTAACTGGCCTTAGGCGTTCCTTTATTTTAAACACAAAATGGGATAAGACTATTGATACATAGTCTTTCAAATTCATAAGTATTCTAAACTAGGGAAAAGATAAACCTTTTTTATTATTACTCTTGCTTTACTACAGATTTAAGCAAATATGTCAAGGTATTATTTTGGGTTTGGAAATTATATCTTGTTTTATATGTTAAACACTGCTTACATTTGATAGTTTCATTGCTTAATTAGCCAGTGCAACTCTGCAAATAATGCGTTACAGTTTTAGCACTTTAAACTTGATGGCTACAAAATTAAACTCAATATATAAGGGATCACAATTCTGAGTAAATAATTCCATATTTCTTTGGAATTACTTCCATTACACAGATTTGCTATCACTACCTTATATAGAAAAGCATATACAAAGAAGTTTTTTAGAAACACTCAAATACAACTTCTAGAGAGAACTACAATGTTTGAGATGAAAACACACTAGACAGAGTAATGACCAATTAAACATTGCAGAATAAAAGATTATTAAACTTGAAGATACAGTAAAACAAAAATCTCAAAAATAAGCATAATGAGAAAAAAGGATTTTTAAAAATGAAAATAGCACCAGTGAGCTGTGCTATATCTTCAAGTAGCCTAATACTGCAAGTGGTGATTGCAGTCCTTGTAAGTGGAGTTGGGGGAGGGATTGTAGAAAAAATGTTTGAAGCCACAATAGTTGAATGCATTCCAAGTTTGACAATAGCTGTAAACTTAAAGACCTAAGAAGTTCAATAAACCCCAACACAAGAAACATGAAAAAAATACAAAGCACATCATCATTGAATTGTTTAAAAACAGAGATAGAGATAAAATTAAAAGCAGCCATACATTTTCTGTATAGACCAGATGGGATAGACTTGTCTCCTTAGGTTCCTCCCTACTACATTCAACTATAAGCCTTGAAAATAATGCAAGAGATAACCAGAGAAATTCTGAAAGGCGATAAGAGGAAGGTGAAGATTAGAGGGGCCAGGAACAACATTTTGGCAAGTTTTTTTTTTTTAAATCACACAATTACATTCCATATAAAGTTGAGAATATTTGATAATTTTTTAGTGTTCATTAAAACAAAAAGATAGCATCGTCATTACAAATAATTCTAATAGCAAAAAAAAAGAGAAAAAAGATAAAGGAGAAAAAGCATGGCGAGAATCTTGGGAAATCAATGATCTTTAATCTTTGCATGTTAGATGTAACATATATAAAGGACTTAAATGTTAGAAGAATTACTATCAACTGTTCATGCCAGCATTTGTTTCACTTTATGTGGGGCTAGTCTCACTGATTTTCATTATATGAATCAGTTCTTCACATACCAGCAGCAGATAAGACAGAGAGCACAATCACCTTATTCTCTGTATAGATGGAAACCATACCACAGTGGAATAAGCTTATTGTTTGGTTAGCATATGTTTGTGTGCCATGTTTACATAAGAAAAGATGCACTTAGATGAGGAAAACAAATATAAATGCATTTTTTTGTTGAAAATCATTTTTGGTATGTGATAGATTGCTAACGAGTGTCAATCTACACATGATTATATGACAGATATAAATCCGCAGTAAAAAACATGTCACTTGATTTGACTTAGTGCTAAAAAAAAAATGTAGACATTGTGACCACTACTAGAATAGTTTCCAGAAATGGAGAGTGAGTTCTGGCCTACCTTTATATACAGAAGTCTTCTGTCTTCTAAGGGAAAGATAATAAAATGAAAATGGTAGTACAAAGCATGTCTAAGATTACAAGTAGTCTTGTCAAAAACCTCCTGATGACACCATGGTGAGGCTTAATATATTTTTATGTTTCTTTTTTTTCAAATACAATGCCTAGCACCACGACCGATGTTCTTGAGAATTTTAATTAATGACTAGGAAAACATATAAATGAAAGTATTGGTAAAGAAGTTAACTAAAAATATATAGTGCTGAATCCAATTACAAAATTTAAATTGTGAACTCATAATTTACAAATAAATTCATAAGTGAATTTATTTTATTGAGATTCTACCTGCTATTTATATATAGGAAATCTTTATATATATTCATGTGTATACACACACACACACACACATATACATGTTTTCAGTTTCATACAAATATACATATATATAGCAAATATTATTCTCCCAACTGACTTGATCTAGTTACATTTATCAAAAGTGCATAATTCCTCCAATACTCTACAGTTTCTTCTTTGGTATAAATAATGTGTTACTTTCTGTACTTTTATGTACAATTTTCTATCTCTTCACAAATACTTTTAGTAACTAAGTAATGCCTTAATTACTACAGTTTTAGTAGGTCAACATATTTTATAATGTAAATTCTCCAGTCTGGTTTTATAAATTCAGGATTACCTGGGGTTTTCTTGATTTTTTTATATGTTCATTATAGCATATACTAGGATTGGTAATACACTGATGAGATTTTGAGTGAAATTATGTTGGAAATGCAGATCAATTTTGAGAGAATATTCTAATGAACATCTCTTAGTAATGCAATCCATTCACTTAAGACTTACTATATTCAGTAAAGTTTTATAGATTTTCATATCATTGTCAGATTTATTTCTAAATCTGAAGCTGATTTGTATAGTACCAAAAAGGATATCCTTTAATTTTATTTTATAATCTCTGTTCTAATAAATATTTTAAATTTTTACTTGCATTCAGAATTCTTGCTGAATTCATTTATTAATTCTAATATTTGATTCTTTGGGCTTTCTATCTGCACATCAAGTTTTCTGCAAATAATCTCAGCTATATTTCTTCCTTCTCAAATGATTTTGTCAGTTCTTGTTTTCAAATTGTGTGAAAATTCCAATGTCATATTGAATAAAAATAATAATGAACAGCTTTTTTCATGCCATACTTCAAATAGGAGAACATCAATAGTTCATGATTAATTAAGACATTTGCTACAGAAATTTGTAGCTATTCTTTATCAGATTAAGGACACTTTTTTTCATATGATGCTAAAAATTTCAAATTACAGTAGTCCTTTCTTATTAGCAATTTTGCTTTCCATGGTATCAGTTACATGTAATCAACTGAGATCTGAAAAAATTAATGGAAAATTTCTGAAATAAACAATTAATAAGTTTTAAATTGCAAGCCATTCTGAGTAGTATGATGAAATCTCAGGCAGTCCTGCTCTGTCTGGCTCAGCATGTGAGTCAGCCCTTTGTCTAGTGTATCCAAGCTGTAAACACTCCCCACAGGTTAGCCACTGAGTAGCCAGCTCAGTTACCAGATCAACTGTATTTTTTTTTAGTGCTTTTGTTCAAGTAACCTTTATTTTACTTAGTAATGACCCCACAGAGCAAGAATAGTGATGCTGACAATTTAGATATGCCAAAGAGTTAGCCATAAAGTGCTTCCTAGAGAGGACAAGGTGAAATTTTTGACTTAGTAAAAACATAAATAAATAAATGTATGCTGAGGCTGCTAAGATCTATGGTTAGAATGAATCTTCTATCCATAAAATTGTGAAGAAGAAAAAAGAAATTTTTACGTATATAGGATTCAGTTCTATCCGTGGTTTCAGGCATCCACTGGGGATCTTGGAAAGTATCCTCTGTGAATAAATGGGGACTCCTACATATAACTAGGGGCATTAAATTTCAAATTAGGTTAAATAATGTTACCTCTGCTGTACCTGAATCATTTCCAAGGAAATATGCAGGCACAGATCATTTGAAGAGAATGTTTCCAGATAAACAACTTCTATGTCTTCTTTTCCCTAAAGTGAATGCCTAATCTATATTTTTAAATGCACACATAGAGTTCTACATGCATACATAAATACATAAATGCATATATGCATGCCTACCTACACATAAACACATACATACATATATATGTACCTATCCACATATATACATAAAAATATTTCTCACCCATCTAGAATGTAAATAGATGCAAAGAAAAAAGACATTTAAATTTTGATGTCTCAAAGAAGAACAGACCACTGGGGTCGACTAGAAGGTGAAGGGTAGGAGGAGACAGAGGAGCAGAAAATATAACTATTGGGTGTTGGGTTTAATACTTGGGTTATGAAATAACCTGTACAACAAACCCCCATGACGCTAGTTTACCTATGTGGCAACCTTCACGTGTACACCCGAATCTAAAATAAAAGTTAAAACAAATGGTGTCCAAGAGGTCTCCTTTAATAAAGGCATTTCCCTGCCTAATACGTTTTCTGAATTAAGGTGAAGCTTGACTTTTTGAGTGATGTGTCTGTGTTCATGTTTTTATACTCTCAGTTACATCGTAGACTAGTGTGTATTAGTCCGTTCTCATGCTGCTAGTAAAGATATAATCGAGACAGTGAATTAATAGAAAAAAAAAAGAGGTTTAATTGATCCACAGTTCAGCATGGCTGAGGAGGCCTCAGGAAACTTACAATCATGGCAAAAGACACCTCTTTACAAAAGACACCTCTTTACAGGGCGGCAGGAAAAAGAATGCCTGCCAGCAGGGGAAATGCCAGATGCTTACAAAGCCATCAGGTCTCATGAAAATTCACTATCACAAGAACAGCATGGGGAAAACAGCCCCCATGATTCAATTACCTCCCACCTAGTCCCTTCTGTGACATGTGGGGATTACGGGGATTACAATTCAAGATGAGATTTGGGTGAGGACACAGCCAAACCATATCAATTAGGGTAAGAGCAATAGTAATTTTTGCTTAAGAACCGTGCCTCCACTATCTATCAAATATTGCAAAGAATTCATGGCTCCCCAGAAGGAGTCCCAAGGGAGCAAAGCAAATATAGCCTCATTAAATAATACTGAAAGGGACAGGACTTTATCTTATCCAGGTATGAAACTCAGGGCAAGGTTACATGCCTCCTGTATGTATAGTAATTTATCTCTCTAGTTTATTGTCTAATCGTCTGTATTGGTTTGTTGGGTCAGCTTTTACAAAATAACAAACTGGTTGGCTTCAGAGAACAAATTTATTATCTCACAGTTTGGGGGGTTGTAAGTTCAAAATTATGGTGGCAGCAGGGCCATGTTCTTTCTAAAGACAGACAATAAAAATACTTTATTGCCTCTTCTTAGCTTTTGGTGGTTGCCACTTCAAATCTCTGCCTCTATCTTTTCATGGCCTTCTTGCCTGTGTTCATGTCTGTGTATCTGCACATGGCATTCTCTGCTCTTTATGTCTCCTATAATGGCACCAATCATTGGATTATGGTAGACGTTAATCCAGTCTGACCTCATCCTAACTTGATTACACCTGAAAGGACCTCATTTCACAATAAGGTTACATTCACAGTTACCAGAGGTTAGGACTTGAGGTATCATTTTGGAAAACACAATTTAATCAATCTATGCATCTGTCTATCATGTTTACCAAATCTCCTTAATATTATAATTAGAAAGAAATAGGTGTGTGCCTCAGAATCTTTAGAGAAAAAATTACTGTCATATTACTTTATGTTTACCACAGAAAATATTTTTAAATTGTGCATTTCCTCTAGATCTTGGGAGACACTATTATTTTTCCAGTAGTTTCAAATTTATTTATAGAATCTATACTTGCCTTTTTAACATTGACAATAAAACTTTATGCATTTATAGTATGCACCTTTATCTTTTGAAATATGTATACATTGTGGAATAAGTCAAGCTCCTTAACATGTCACATACTTCACATACTTATCAGTTATTTGTGATGAGATCACTTAAAATTTACTTATGTTCCTTTGACTGATGGCAAATCAATCTAGGCCCTATGTTTCCTTTACCCAGTTTTTGAGGAGTTTCTTAGTTTCTTCTCTATTCTCCAATCCTTTTTTATCTACTAT
This sequence comes from Homo sapiens, assembly GCF_000001405.40. NCBI lineage: Eukaryota > Metazoa > Chordata > Mammalia > Primates > Hominidae > Homo > Homo sapiens. The sequence continues at coordinate 193,964,157 of NC_000002.12, read as the reverse complement.
GGTTTAAATTATGGTCTTTATATTCACATTTAGTTATAGTACAGATATTAATGACTTCTACCAAGTAAATTTCTATATCTAAAAGTAATTCAGTATATTGAGGAGGAACACAATGAGGCAAGCTCCTTTCAAGTTGTGGTTGTTCTAGAATCAGGGATAATGTGACAACTCTTTGTTCACTAGGTTTAATATATAACACATCTAATCAGGCACAGGTCTATGCTCTTCCAAATTTCAACCCTTACAAAATTCCTTTGCTATGAATTTTCATATTAAATATACCAGGACCTGTTTTCTTATATGGCCTGCCGTATTTTCATCTTGACAGCATTTTAAGAAATGTAATAAGAGATCTTTGGTGTAGGTATGACTCTCGCTGGCTTTTGTGCAGAAGGTTTGACACCTAAGTATTTAATCAGTGTTATGCCAGCCTTCCCCACTTAGGGGAGCTAGTGGCAAGAATTGAAGCATTTCTGAACAGCGCTGCCTTTATTTTGGTTTAGAGGATAAAGTATACATAAATTAGCTATTCAGAAACACTGATGATGCAATCAGTGGACATTAGTTTAGGTATTTTCCTGTAAAGATACTAAACAAAAAACATTGTCGATAGTTGTCTACAGAAGGATCACTGTTAAAGCTCTATTTAGATTGTACTGGTTTGCTACAACATAAATGTATCTACAATACTTTGTTCAATCCCATTTATGAAGGATTTAAAGCTGTGTACAAAAAAAGTACTTATAATATTTTAAAAACAGAAAATTGAAATAGAAAATCCAGACAAGAAAAAATATAAATATACATAGATACTGAAGACCAAGTACTTGAGAAGACAAGAATGCAGATTAGAAGAGACAACATATTCTGCAGGCCAAATTAAAACAGAATGAACTAATTTTCATAATTAAAGAAAAGTAAACCTATCTATTTTAGAGAAAACATTTTTCTAACATTGATTTCTAAATGGAATATTTCATGTGTCACATTTTTAGAAAGGATACTGGATGATATAATGTACACTTGTCACAAACCTATCTTGAAACAGGTGCAGCAAGGGATTTCATATGGTTATTTTTTGTCATATTCTGAAATAGAAATCAAGTGAGCAGCATTTCAAAATGAAATTCTGTAAAGGATATTCTGCAAGGTGTAATATTACTTTCTGAAAACCTATAATAAATGTAGTAAGTAACCTGCCCATGGCAGGAAATGTTTACATAAAAATTGGTACAAAACAGTTATTTCCTGGCTTACTCCCACTGGCTAGATCAGTGTAACAATCTTCTGTGTTGGCCCTATTTGCTGCACCTGAACTATTGGGGATGCCACTCATACATTAACTGATCTAATTTCCAGATTACTAAAGATGGCCCTGAATTAAGCCTGTTGTCTCAAAATAATTATTAATAGTCCCTTTTCATCCTCAAAAGTGTTCAGGTCTGGATGATAAATTATATTGTCAACCTCATTATTCATAAGAGGTTATTGTCTTAACTATCACAGTTACCAACTCAAGTAATTTTTCAGCTTTATCAATGTTAGGCACATACAGGTATCTCTTTTGCACTTACTTTTGCTATCACACCTGATACTCGGTAGCACTTCTAGTATAATGATATAACAATAACAGCGTGTGCTGTGGGCAGGCAAACTGCTAGGGTTCAAATTTTGCTGTGACCACTTGTTGACTGCAAGACCTTAAGTTACTTATCCTCTCTATGACTTGATTTACTCACTTATAAAATGGGGATAAGAATGGTGCCTATTTAATTATAAAGGTGTGAAAGTTCACAAGCGGAAAGGACTAGGGATTTAGTGAGCATACAACCAGTGTGAACATTTTCCTTTGACATTCTTGGTTATACTCAATCTTCTCTCCTTTTTGAAACGTTTTTCAGCTTACGTATACCTGATTTTCAGTGTCCTCTCATGTCACATCCTGAGACAGACACCCAAACTTGTTCTTCCTCAATTTAGGAGAAGCTCTCTCAGGAACTAAAGGCGTTCAAGTGTAGAAAAATCTAAACTGCAGTGTGCCAGAGAGAAATATTTTATTTTTTGTTTGTGCTGATATTCATAGGAAAGTTACAATTTTAGAGAGAACTTATCATCAAAAGAAACAGCAAAACAAGGCAAAAACACAAGGTGATAACCTGAGTCAACCTACCCAATAGGGTAAACAGGGAGATTAGAAACCAGAGACTAAGGATCTGCAATGGAGTTTAAACGTGACCCACAAAATATGGAGTCTACAGCCAACAAAAATGTATCCCAATCTTTACAGGCTGCAGAGGCTGATGCTTTTTTCAATTTTGTGCCTCCTGGTGTTTGTCATAAATCAGACCTCTGATGAAGCCTTGGTGTGAAGGATATTAGTTCCTTTATATGTACAAATATGAGGAAAGTGAAAACTGAAAAATCATAGTTCTTTGATTCTTTATGCTGTCTAGTTTAGTGCATTAACTATTGTTCATTAATAATAATGCTTACTGTTGATAAATAATAATACAATTGATTTGTAAAAACATAATCAAAAAGTAAAAAAAACTCATATGGGAAACATTCATAACATATATAATAGAGAAGGGAGTAATAATTTTTTAAGTGAGGAGATGGATTTTGGAGAAAGATTACACATATATTTGGTTAGAATAAAATTATGTAACAGAAAGTTAAATTTTGTAAAAAAAAAAGATGACTTGTACAGATGAGTAAAAATGAAACAAAAAGAATCTTGTGAGCCAATATAAGGAAAATAAACATCATTAGCCAATATAAGGCAAAACACATTGATGAAATCATATTGCATATGTGCTCTGGCTAAAAATGGCTGAAACGCTGAGACATGGGCCTGTTCTGTCATTATCCAAGGTATAAATAATGGCAGAGGCAAAGGTAACAACACTAGCTAAAACAAAGTCAGCTATGTAGGGGGAAAAAACCCAAAATCTATTTTTTGTCATATGCAGCATATTGAAATCTTCTGTCCCTCTCGACCAGCTGTAAGAATTCCAAACGTCTTTTCTGCCAACAAGTTTTTCATATCCAAAAAGGCAGGTGACTCTGATGGTGACCTTGCTATTGAAACAAGGTAAATAGCCTGCAGCAGTGACAGGATCTTGACACTGAAGTAAAAAATCTCTCTTGTTGCAACTCTCTAAGCACTTAGCCCAATACATTGTTGCATTTGTCAATTAGACAGAAATAGCTAATTCAGTCTGGCACTGTATGAAATGTTAAAGAAACTGAAAAGAACAAGCATAAAACATAATATATAGTTTACATATTTGTCACCTCCTATTTATAATAGTCCAAGGTGACACAAATGCAAGTTATAATAGTAAAATCCCTGATGTCAGATGCAGAACTATCTCAGAGTAATTTTAGCAATAATTTAATAAATAGGTGGGAGCTCTTATTTTAAGTTGGTAAAATTGGCTCATCAACACTAATGATGCCATGCAATTTAAAAGATCCTAAAAATTTTCTGCAATTAGCAATGAATATAATTATAGTAATATTCATAAATTGGCTAGTTATTGAGTAATACTTGTCAAGAAGTATGCTAAGTACAGTCAAGCAGTAACTAAATACAGTATATGGTATAAGTTAAACACTAACAAAAAGCAAGTGAGGTATATAATATTATTATTCTTTTTATAGAGTAGAAAATAGTTTTAGAGAGGCATTGTAATTACTGAAATATGCAGAGCTTGTCAGTAAGTGCGTCTATTTGAACTTAGACACAAAGAAAATATGAAATTCATTATATTGATATTACAGATCCTGAAAGTAATCAAAACAGAATCTGGCCAAACCCTTTCCTGATACAGTGGCCATATTCTGTATTTAAAAACACAATTACAATGAAGAATTATGTTCACTTTCTTACAGGTAACTTAGTAGAGGGAAGTAAATCAGTTTTCAATATTTTGAAGACAAAATTATCAAAAAATAATATATATACACTGCGGAATTATGTATCATTTTAGCTTTCAACTTATGAAAATTTGTCTATGGGCAGGGTGACTAGAAGTTACCAGAGAGACAGAAGAGAGGTCTACATAAAGGAAGAGCATAAGTGAAGTAATGAGTGAGAGCAAAAGAAAAACTATATATATATATATATTTTTTTTTTTTTTTTGAGACAGAGTCTCGCTCTGTCGCCCAGGCTGGAGTGCAGTGGCCCGACCTCCGCTCCCTGCAAGCTCCACCTCCCGGGTTCACGCCATTCTCCTGCCTCAGCCTCCCGAGTAGCTGGGACTACAGGTGCCCGCTACCGCGCCCAGATAATTTTTTGTATTTTTAATAGAGACGGGGTTTCACCGTGTTAGCCAGGATGGTCTCGATCTCCTGACCTCGTGATCCGCCCGTCTCGGCCCAGGCGAAAAACTATTATTTTTATTAGCAATTGATCTACCAAATAATGTTTGGTTCAAAATAATAAAACAATGTATTCTGTGATTATAGCTTTATAGCTTATGGATAAGTGAAATGAATGACAGGAATAATATAAAGTATAGAAGAAGGAACTGGAAATACATTGTTACCTGTATTATAGGGTACTTGTATTATCCATGAAGTTGTACAATGTTGTTTAAAAATAGACTTGGAGTAGTTGTAAATGTATATTGCAAACTCTAAGACAAACATTTTAAAAAGTGGCAAAAAGGGCCGGGCGTGGTGGCTCACGCCTGTAATCCCAGCACTTTGGGAGGCCGAGATGGGCAGATCACGAGGTCCGGATATCGAGACTATCCTGGCTAACACGGTGAAACCCCGTCTCTACTAAAAATACAAAAAATAAGCTGGGCGTGGTGGCGGGCGCCTGTAGTCCCAGCTACCAGTAGGCTGAGGCACGAGAATGGCGTGAACCCGGGAGGCGGAGCTTGCAGTGAGCCGAGATCGCGCCACTGCACTCCAGCCTGGGTGATAGAGCGAGACTCCGTCTCAAAAAAAATAAAATAAATAAAAATAAATAAATAAATAAATAAAAATAAAAAGTGGCAAAAAGAAGTATAATTTACATGTTAAGGAAAGAAATTCAATCAAAATGCTCAATTGATAAATGGAAAATGAAATAAAATAGAAATACTAAAAGTTACAAAGATCATTACTGAAGTTAAAAGTATTGTATTTCAACAGTAGATTAACAGGAAGAAAAGATGTTTAAGCTAAAATACAGGTTGACAGAAAATATATTTTTTCTGAATCACAGAGGGAAGAAAAAAGATAAGATAAAGAAAAATATTCTACCAGACACATGGGAATCAGTGACAAGGCCTGACATATACATTACGGGAGCACCAGAAGACGCAGTAGAATGAATGTGTCAATGGCAACAGTTGAAGATATACTGAAAAATTGATGGACAAAATGCCAAAGATTCATCACGTTCTTTGAACTCCAAGCAGAATAAATAGATAAGTAGAAAGGAAATCACATTTAGACAAATGCATAGCAAAACTCCAAAGGAGCAAGGAAAAAGTCTACATTTTAAAAATCAGCTTGTGAGTACCCTTTCTTTCCAATACTCGAATTTGTATTGAAAAAGTAATGAATATGTAAATCAATTTGGGAAAATATAATAACTACAGTTTTGGGCCTTCCAAACCACTAATATAATAAATTCTACTATTTATATAGGTCTCCTCTACTTTCTTTTCAAAGCAAATATTTTTAGACTGAATAAGATACACTACAAATAATATGAGGCATACAAGAGACATACAAATATTAAGAGCATGACTATTTGAGAGTAAAAGAAGGGAAAGATATACTAAAAAAGTTAAGCTCACAGAAAAACTGATATATATTTAATACACAGAGTTAATATATCATATCAAGCATATTAGATTTTAGGCTATAAAATACGACTAGTGATGAGGATAGATATTCCTAAATGATAAAAGACTAAATTAGGCAAGAAGATATTTCAACTCTCAATGTATATACAATTCATAATACAGTTTTAAAATACAAAAGCATGTAGTAACACATCAGCAGAAATGGAAGAATAGGGAATTCTAAGGGCCCATCCCCCCACAGAAACACTAATAAATTTAGCACAATCTGTCAGAATCAACTTTGTCAAGATAACCCATGTTTTAAATGTATTCCAAATTTAAAACGTCTCTTAATTTTGTATGTGTATTAAACATAGCATCACTGCTTTTGAAAAATGAAGAATAAAGAGAATTCATAGGCAGGCATGGTTACAAAACAGTCAAGTAGTACCAGACAAAAACAAGATCTGCCTTTACAGCTATAAATATAACTAAAAATGCCTTACCCCTATCTATTTCTCTCTCTCTCTCTCTCTCTCTCTCTCTCTCTATGTATCTATCGATCATCTAACATATCTAACTTGAAAGGTAATATTTGGAAAGAATGGCTACCTAAAGCCATATAAATTGGAAGACAAAAGACTGTCTTGTCTGTCCAGGGCAATAATAATAATAATGTATATTTCCTCAGAAAGTATATAAAATTTTAAATATTTTAAAACAAAAACTGAAGAATATTTATTTAGAAATAGTGAGTGGTGTTTCTGTGGAAGAACAGGCCCCTGGAGCTGCCTGTTCTGCTATTTTTGCTGTTGTCAAGTAGGAGTTAAACCTTGGTACTCGTGGGCATAAAGATGGCAGGGAGTAGGGCACGGAAGGAAAAACTAACTATTGGGTACTATGTTCACTACCTGGGTGACAAGATCATTCATATCCCAACCCCAGCTTCATGCAATGTAGCTATGTAACAAACCTGCATCTCTTTCCCTTAGATGTAAAATAAAAGCTGAAATTATATTAAAAAATTAAACTTTTATAGCAATCCAGCAATTACTGAATCAGAAATAAAAGTAAAATGTTAGAAATAACTTTTTCTTGGGGTGATTAAAATATTTTGGAATTCACATAGGTAGTAGCTATACACTATTATTAAAGCTCATAGAAATGTACACTTTAAAAGATTTAATTTTATATTATGTGAATGTAACATCAATAACAAACAATTCAAAAGCAGATATAGAACTAGTACGAGAAATAGACACATCTACAGCACACTTAAATATTTTAACACACCCTACTTTTAGGAACTGAATAAAATCACCAAAAAGTGTAAAGACATTGAAATACATGTAATTTCCATCCAGCAACTGCAAAACACACATTGTTTACAAGTACAGAAAGAATACTTACCAAAATGGACTATATCCTGGGCCTTAAGTTTAGTCAGAAAAAATTTAAATTAGTAAAATATACAGAAAATATGTTTCTGACCACAGCAGAATCATACCAGCAATCCTATTACTGGGTATATACCTAAAGGAATATACATTGTTCTATTATAAAGATACATTCACATGTATGTTCATTGTAGCACTATTCACAATAGCAAAGACATGGAATCAACCTAAATGCCCATCAATGATAGGCTGGATAAAGAAAATGTGGTATATATACACCATGGAATACTATACCTCCATAAAAAGGAACGAGATCATGTCCTTTGCAGGGACATGGATGGAGCTGGAGGCCATTATGTTTAGCAAACTAACACAGGAACAGAAAGACAAATACCCCATGTTCTTACAAGTGGGAGCTGAATGATGAGAACACATGGACACCTGGGGAAACAACACACACTGGGACCTGTCAGATGGTTGGGGGTGGGAGGAGGAAGGTCATCAGGAAGAATATTTAATGGATGCTGGGCTTAATACCTGGGTGATGGGATGATCTGTGCAGCAAACAAGCATGGTACACGTTTACCTATGCAACAAAACTGCACATCCTACATCCTGCACATGTACCCCTGAACTTTAAAGTTAGAAATTAAATAAAAAAAGAAAATCCTCAAATATTTCTCTCTCCAGATATATAATGGCAGGCTGATTATCTGTAATCTGAATTTCTATCTGTCTTCAACTCAAGAAACTAAAAAAAAAAAAATTTAAGAAAGTGGAAGAAAAAAACAAAAATAAATGAAGAAAGCAATGAAATAGACAAGAAAAAATACAGTAGAAATCTAAGAAACTAAATCTTGTTTTTTTAAATAATAAAATTGACATATATTTAGAAACAGGTTAAGTAAAAGTACTAAGAAGACAAAACATATCAACAAAAAGGAGTAAATGAAAGTTATTACAGGGGTTTTGAAAAAATAATAAGTTAAAAAAAGACTATCGTGACATATGCAGCAGCAATAATGTTGAAAATTCATATTGATAGCACAAAGATTTAATTAACTAAAAATATATATTTGTGTATTTAACCAAAGATGTAAGTGTGTAGTATATCATTTGTAATAAATATTTATATGTTTGTTTCTATTTTTGAAGCTATATAGTTTTTTCTATTTATATTGTCATATACTTTCCAATACTTGAATTTTTCAATACTGTTTTCTAGAACTCCAGAAATATTTTTCACAGGTTTATATACAAAAAAGCATATAAAATACCTCCTTTAGAGACTTATTATCAAACTTAATCTTGTAGTTAACATAAATATATTTAAATAAAAGCTGTCTTTAATTTAAAGGGCCACCAAAAGCTATCTTTACAAACTAGAAAATTGTATCATTTACATAGAAATGTACAAATAGCTGTTGACATTTAGAATTTTTTGATTTAATACAACTTACATATTTACCACATTATTAATAGTTTCTATATCAAATAAAGCAACCCTAAATTAAAAATCAAAATTAAAAATTGTCAACAGTGGCTCAAAACCCAGTATAAAATTTAAACGTTGCTTAAATTTATGATTGCTTTTTGTTCTATATGAATTTTGTTCAATTAAATTTTAAAATAGCTTTGTTTACTTCACTAAATACAGTTTATGCAATGTAGATTAACACCATATTAGCAGTATTTGAAATAAGAAGCCATGATGATTAAACTGTTAACATTTATTTAAATATACCCTGTGAACAAACACACTCCAATGGTCATAACATGTATTGATGGGATATTAACAATTGTAAAACCTTAAAAGTGTATAGATAGTATATCTTTCAACAACTAACAGTTGTTTTTAAATTATTTAAAAGGCCAACATGAAATACCACAAAATTATCCTTGAATGTTCCTGATAATCTTTTAGGTTCATTAACATTTGAACCAATTACTCCCACTTTTAATCCATTAGCTTTTGATCCTAGCGCTGAGACCTGCAGGTGATATTCATTAATTTAAAGGCATGAAAGAAAACTTTCTTCTCTTAGAGCCAGCCCACTCCCTCCCACTCCACACAACTCCTTTCCCCAAAGGGAGTATCCTTTCCATTAAAGCTAAGTGGATCCTAGCTTCCTATGGCTGTACCTATATTTCCCTAAATAACTGGTGATAACAGCAAAGTGATGTGAGGGAGTAGGATATTACCGTAACCTCCTAGTTATCTAATCTATAATATTTAGTTTTTACTACTTATCTATTAAACATTTTTTAAAAGAAACAAGTCAGTCCACAACAATCTTCTGCTATAATCAATTTTGTCAGTGTTTACAGAATGCAATATAATGACCCAAAGGTTATATACTAACAAAGAGTGGGATGAAGTGCCATTATCTATTATATTTTATGATATTCATTGATATTCACTAATCTATCCTATAACCATTTAAATATACCAATAACATGTGACCAGGACTCTAATCTTTATATGTGGTGATTGGTGTTCTAGTGAGCACAATTAATTTTGCTACTTAAGTTTGTGTAAAACAAATGGTAAATAGGATTTCTTTCTGGTCATGCTTCTAAAAGCATATATTTAATTCTTGTATAGGTTTATATGACAGCAAGTGTTTTCTTAATATTTTATAAACAATACATTTTATTTAAAAATATTGTCTTCATGAAACCTAAGATATATTTCCAAAATTATTTACGTATCTTCTGATCACATGCTTTTATTCATTAATTTTAATAATAATATCTATTCTTCTTATAGTGATGACAACATAAGGTGATTTAAAAAGTTTTGTCACATAAAGTCAGTTGAATAAATAGTTTGATTACTTGCTAGTTACTGTGCTTGTCACTGGAGACAGAAAGACAAATATAACATAATGCTCACATACGAGTAGCTGGTACTGAGCGCTCAGCATCATCCGTGTCCCATACAAAGCAACTCTACTGTCTAAGTAAGGCTGCTTTGTTGTGTGCTCACAAAGATCATCTCTCTTTTCTTCAAAGCAGTTATCTCAGATGACAACTATAAATTAGTTAGCATGATTATCTAATAGCTATCAATTTTGGCAGATAAATTCCATCAGTAGAAAAACTCATCCTTGTTCTCCAATATTCCTAGAAGTGCACAAGTTAACTGATGATTTTAAATACTCATTAAATATTTATCAAATGAATGAATAATATACTGAGATGTACAAAAACTCTAAGAATACATGTGAGTATAAGTATTCCTGTACACTCAAATCCATCTCTGATAACCCAAGTGTCATCAGCCCAAGGGCAACAAAAAGTCAAGATAGATATATTTATTATTATTATTAGAGAAGTCTAAAAAGTAAAATATCAAAATTTAAATAGCAACTCACATTAAAATTCCATATATTGTAGCAGTTAGCATTTTGTTACTATTTTTAGGAGTTGAAATCTACATAGATTTTGGCTGACAGCTCATCGTTTCACAAACTAAGGAAAATAATAAGTTGAAACACAACACCGATTAATCACAAACACCAGGAAGTATGCCAAATATTTTACATACATTTTTCCAATTTAATCTTTATAAGATTAAATTCTGGGAGGTTCTAGGTGGTTGGTTGTAGAGAAATAAAAAGGCTTAATGATTTTTTCTTCCTTGAACAGATAACTATTTGAAGAAATTGAAGCCATTACTGCTCCATGTTGACCAAACAAGTGTGCTATTTTTTAAAAATACATTTTCTTGGAAAAACCCAATGGCTTAATATCACGTGGACATTTCTAAACATATGATTCACATTTTATTACTTCTAGAAGAACTTTGTTGAAATTTCATATTTTATGTTCAAATAAATAAATGCTTCAGCAAGCTTGGTACTTTCACAGTACCATTTAAAATATATCATTTCATTTCTCAAGGCAGAGTATTTCAGAGGATAATTTATCAGAGAACACACATACACACACACAGTTAGACACACACTGTCTTAATATCAATACTGACATCCAGGTTCTATAATAAAATAATTTTAAGTTTCATTATTTAAGTTACTATGAAGCATATTGGTTTAAATGTAACTTACTTGAAACATCTTATTTCCATGATAAACTAAAAAAAAATGTGTAAGTGAATTAGTAATGATCTTAGCAAGGTTTTACGTTAAAAAAGCAATGCAGATGTGGCATGAACTGATTTGCAAAATTTGAAATGTGATGCCAGACAAGAAAATTCTGGGAGCTATTTGCTAAGAAATGTTATTAATTAAAAAAAAAACACAACAAAACCTCAGGAGTAAATATTTCTCAAATAATACACTTAATAATTGTAGTAGGCATTGTAGGCTGCTGGATCATTAAACAGAAAAATTAATATACATCAGTTATATACATATTTTTCAAAGAATGAAATCATATATAAAATATGTAGTTTTCCAGAGAATCTTTTTCTAAATATAGCAATTGTATATCATGGTGGATTGGCAGAGTTAATCAATATGTGAATGCATTTTTCTATGTTTTATATGTGGATGTGACAGATTACAAGTAACCAAAATAAATAAAAAATTTAGTTTATAAAAATGTCAAAAGAAAGGTAAAAAGTCAATGTTACTTTGTGAAAAAGAAGGGAAAACATTAAAATTATATTTTCAAACACATTTCTGGTAAGGATATGATTTCTTTTTAAAATAAATTGGGTGCAAATAATTTTCTTTCATTTTTTATGCAGTGAAGATTTCAATTGAGGTAAACAAGCAATGAGATATACCATATGAATTGATTTACTTGATAAAATGAAAATTACTTCATTAAAGCAAAGAGTAAAAGTGACTAATGACCAATTAAAAATGTTTATTTAGGTCACTAAATAAATGATTTTTGATTTGATTTGATTTTAAATGATTTTTATTATCTTTTTTATTTTATTTTAAATAAAATAAATAAAATAAAAAGTTTTTATTTTAAATGATTTAATATTGTTATAAACTTTCTGAGGAAGTATTATGAATTCTTGTTATTATGGTTCTGTACAGAAAACAGAACTTTTTGTCTTCCGTTTATTTGCCTTTAGGTAGCCATGGTTTCCAGTATCACTGTTCTTAGATAATAAATAGGTAGATAAATAACTAGATACACAATAAGACATTTTAGGTGTATTTATAGCTAAAAACACAGGCATTATTTTTGTGTGCAACTAGTTTACTGTTTTGTAATCAGGCATGCTTTTGACTCTCCTTTATACATTATTTTTCAAAAGCAGTGATGATATGTTTAATACATGTAGAAAACTAAGAGACAGATTTGGAAGAAATTTGAAATATACATGATCTTAACATATAAAATATTTTCAAGGTCAATAAATAATAACAACACTTAATTGAAAAAATAGGCAACAAAAATGCATAGGGAATTCACAGAAGAAAGTAACCAATAAAAATAAAACAAGAAGGCCAAGCACAGTGGCTCAGGCCTTTAATCCCAGCACTTTGGGAAGCTGAGGCTGGCTGATCACCTGAGGTCAGGAGTGCAAGACGAGCATGGCCAACATGGTGAAACCCTGACTCTACTAAAAATACAAAATATTATCTGGGTGTGGTGGCAGGCACCTGTAAACCCAGCTACTCAGAAGGCTGAGTTTATGTAATGTTCTCAATCGTAAATATCAGAATACACTGTAGAATCTTATATAAAAATAAATATATAGATTATTCAGTCTTGAAATTCTACTTCTTGGGAAATTCAACATATATGCTAATTCATAAGGCACTAATTCCTGAGAAATTTACAAACATCACTGTAATTGATTATATTAAATCCAACATTAGCCACATTAAAATGGAAGTGATCTCATGTTACTAGCTGTGTAAAATTTTTAATAGACATATAATTTAATATTATGCAAATGGTAAAATTATAACATTGAATAATATTAAATGGAAACATGCCAATCCAAACAATGCCTTATAGGAGTATATACCATGCCATGGAGATATTCTGAATAAAATATGCCTTATATAGGTATATACAAATTATTCAATTGTTAACTCCAACTGAGTTTATCATAACAAATAAATAAAAATGTGAATGCTGATGATGAGAGAAATAGAAGTCATAGCCAACTAAATCTTGGTTGAATTATACATCATTTACATTTTTCTTATAGTTATTCTGTGCTTCATAAGTATTTTATTATGAACATGCATCACTTTCATAATGAAGAAAATATGGCGTTTTAAAATAAATAATAAAATACAGCCTGAGAAGCAGCCTGAGAAGCAGATATGTAGCAGATCTCTTATTGCATTAATATATCATCATAGGATAAGCAGGTCTCTTATTTCATTAAATATCATCACAGCTTCATGTATAGGTTAGCTATGTTATGTCTTCTACAATTAAATGATTTAGAAAAAAGTACGTTTTAATGGGGGAAATAGCTTGTGGAGACACAAACTATTAAAAGGGAAATACATGTCATATGCTTTCTGTTGTGCCTAGAACTCAAACTATCAACATATCAGAGCCTAGTATGACTCTTGGATTAACATTTCAAAATTGAACCAACAATTACCAATGGTTTAATTTTTATGAAACACAAAATATAATATGCCTTTATTCTTTTAAATTTGAGGGCATTTAATAGTCTTCAATCATTTGCCGTTTAACAATTGTGAAATATACCTAAATTCATTACAAATTCTATGAAGCGTAAGAGTCTAACATTCTTTTTAGACAAGTCTCAAGAAAAGTTTCAAGGCACTGAAAATAAATTCATTATTACCTTTATAAAAATAGAAAATAAATAATTTTATATTTTTAGTGGACTTAGAGGACACCACATTTGAATGAGCTTTCAAATTAACCTGTATAGTATATTTACTTTGAGATTAAATTAGATTTTTTTTTCTTTTGACAGGGAGTTGAAAACAAGGCTACAGTCCGCAAGTCATGATACCACGATAAACATTTTAAAAGAGGAAAATTTAAGAAAATCCCAGTGTATTCACCTATGAAGTGTAAAGTCATGAACAACATGAGAACAATGCAACTATGGCACACATTTAGACGCTGTTACGAGTAACAACAAAAAAAATTTTGCAGCGTTTGAAATTATATTCAGCGTAACTTTTTGTACTTATATACACTACTACTGTATAAATTTAAAAAATTAATGTCATTAATTTCCTCTAAAAAGTGATTATTTTTAATTGGGCTAGTTTGCCTGCCAGGAAAACTTTCATGTACATTTTGTTGATTCAAATCAATAAAAATCCAGGAATAATGTGAGCTAATTATGCTTTAAAATGTGAATATAATATTTGTATCATAACAGGAGATCAATAAATGATTGTTGCCTCTGACCTCTCTTTTCCCACCCAACACACACACAGTTACATTTCATACTTGTGTCATACACAAATTATTTGTATATTGTTGTGGTTTGATGTAATGTTCTCTTTCATTCTTAGGCACTTGAGCTCTGGAGTCCATTGCTGGAGACAAATTCAAACTGCAGTGTTGCCACTTCTGGCATGTAACTTGGAAGAATTCATGTAACTCTTTGCATACCAATTTCTTCATTATAAAATAGAAGCAATAACACTTTCTCCATAATGTTATCGCGAACATTAAAAGACATAATACATAAAAATGCCTAGTACAGTACCAGGCAAGTAGTAAGCGACAGATGTTAACTATATTATCATTCTTTTTATTATTACAATCGGTATCTAATATGTCACACAATTTCCTTCTCAACTTTATTTTGTGTTGCTCATTATTACTTTCAACTAATAAAATGTCTATGTGGGCATGTATCTTCTGTTTTTAATTGAGCGTAGTAGAAATGTTAAATACTTGTTGAAAAATTGCGTAAAACTATAAGAACATTATTCACAGAAAAGGAAAATCAACTATTAGTGTTCCGTTCATTGAGTTAACAGGTATGGCCAATATGGAGTATGTATTATTATTTGGTCTGACAAAATGGATATTGTATAGGTTAAAAAGTAATTTAAATAAAACAAAATCTGTATACATTTTTATCCAAGCTCAATCTATGTATGTGTAAATGTAGCAGAAATGTGTTATTGCATTGAATATATTCACAGCAGAATTCGTTTCACAGCAGATTCAGAATAATGGCAAAATAAAACCATAAGCATTTCCCCCATCAAACATGTCAGCTGTTGGCAGAAAATTAAAGAAAACCACAAATCTCTGTCCTCTGCTTTGCCATTCAGTAGCATATGTTACTACAGGCCTTAGTGGCATGGCTTTTAACATGCCTCTAATAGCCAGTAAGATAGAAATTTAAAACAAAAAGATGAGAAATCAAATAGAAAGAAAAAAAACTGGGCAAAACTTTCAGCCTAATCAGACATTATCAAGCAGAAATCTGAGCTGACAGATTTACCTTTGGGAGGTACAGTCCTCCTGGAGGACTGACTAGCAGTCACTATCAATCAAAATAAAAATGTGTATGCTGATGATGAGAGAAATAGAAGTCATAGCCAACTAAATCTTGAATAGAAAAATCGTACATTTTGAAACTTTGCAAAAAGTTTATGAGAATATGATATAAGGGTGCAAAATAAAGATGTTGAGTATCTTGAAGTGAAGGAGAGAGAAGGAGAGGAGGAAAGGGAGGGAGAGAAAGAGAGAGGCACTAGATTAAAAGCCTTCCCAATAAAAAGACAGAATACAACTCAAATTTTTACTTTCCTTGAAATCCAATATTAATGAAATTCATGATCTACCATGAAAAGAACCAGAAAGGTAAAGTTATTAATAATCTAGAATAAATCATGACAGATCAATGTCATTTTTTAGTATTCCTAACATTTTATTTATTTAACCAAGAAGGGTAACTTAAGAATTCCTTGTCCATATGGATAGTTGTAGAGACAGTTAATTATAGAGACTGAGCACTATTCATCATTTGTCAAGCCTGTTCCAAGCAGATAAAAGGAAAATTATATGTCAAGTCTTTTAATCCATGAAAGTCTAATCTATTAATTAAAATGTTATATTTTATTTACAAGAGGTATGTTCAAAAACAAGTGCCATAAGGAATATTGAGATAGTAAGGATACTACAGTGGGGTCTCTTTCCTTCTTCCTCTCTCTTTATATGCATATATATTACTCTTTTATTCATATGCCAGTTACTTCCTATAGTTGCCAAAATAAATTACAATGAAATATATGCAAATACAAATAATAATATATTTTTCTTTTTTATGCTTTCATTTGAAAAAGGAAACTGAACATTCAAGAGCATAGGCAACTCTGTGAAATTCATTTGGACAACTATTTATAAAGAAAACATCAGATTTGTAACAAAAAGAAGAAAATATGGCTTATTTTATCAAGAAGTTATTTAGAAAGAAATGCATTTCAATTAATACATTCAAAATCAATGAGATAATATCAGTATATTAAAAGACTGGTTATTGGCAAAGAAATATTTTTATTAAAATGTTAAGTATTCTTGTCAAATTGTATCTTCTTTATAATGTTGAAAAAATCACAAATGATATGTCAAATAGCTTTGCATAGTGTACTATAATATATATAATATAATTAATATTATTCTCTACTTTTTCCATAGCTTTGAGGATGAGATAATGTATGTAGAAGATTTTTGAAAATTGTGAGTTTTGCTGTGATATGTATTCAGAATTATATACAAACTTTTAATTTCTTAAAACTTTAGGGAAGGAAAAACTTTTTCTCTCTAGAATCCTAAGTCCTCAGGCCAGACACTTTGCTGAGAAAAGGCGGGAAGAGAAAGGGCACTTATGGAAAAACAAATGACTTTTTGATAAAATAAATATTTTCCTAGGAGAATAGATGGGAAATATGGGAGTCCAGTGACTATGTTAGAGTGTGATGCAGACTCCTCTGAGAAGATGAGAGTCACTCCTGGGGAGGGTGTTCATGACAATTGAGTTCTTTTGGGAGACTCTGCTTTTATAAAATAAGGAATTTTAGGAATTTACATGCCTTTTGCTAAAAATAATTCTTATGCCAAACTGTTTGGAATGCCATATCCTGATCTTATTCAATACCAAACTCTGAGTCTTATGTTTTGATACTCTATTAATAGCTCTTATAATTCATTGGATATAGAGAATGAGAGAGGATCATTATGACATCTGCAGATTTTAGATGAACAAATAGGTGTATGCCATGACATTTACTAGAGTAGTGTTCCTCAGCTTTTTTTTTCTTGGTTAGTCTTACTCTTTCAAAATTTAATTATTATTTCAAGCATCTACCTTTGGGCTTTGTTAATATTTTCTATTATATGTCTACTTTCTACTTCACTAATTTTTTTATGATTTAAACATTGTGCAATATAGGTTTGTATGTGAAATTAAATCCTCAAATTTCAATTACCTGTATGTGTGTTTATATTTGCTTATAGTTCAATAACTTTATTGAGATATAATTCTCATATGAAAAATACCTATTTAAAATGAACTATTAATTTTTATATATTACATAATTGTGCATCTACTACCACATTCTAATTTTAAAATATATTCATTACCCCCCACCACCACCAAGACTGCTACACTCATTAGGAATCATTCTCCATTATCTCCATTTTCCACACTGCTTAGTTACTATTTTATTTTCTGTATATATAGATTTTTCTATTCTGGGCATTTTATATGTTTTTGTATGTTTGGAATTATACAAT
Source organism: Homo sapiens (assembly GCF_000001405.40). Lineage (NCBI taxonomy): Eukaryota > Metazoa > Chordata > Mammalia > Primates > Hominidae > Homo > Homo sapiens. The sequence goes on along the minus strand of NC_000002.12, from coordinate 193,946,276 downwards.
GTATGGTTTATTATGGCTGGCTTCTTTTATTTCACATAATGTTTTCAAGATTTCTCCAGGTCGAGCAATTATTAGTACTACCTTATCTTTAACATCAAATTATATCTCATTGTATGTATATACTTTATTTTCTTTATTATACATTAGTTGATGGACATTAGGGTTATCACTAGTTTTTGGCTATTATGAATAATGTTGCTATGCACATTCATGCACACATTTTTGGATATATATATATGTATATAAATATATAGTACATACCCAAGAAAAATGAAAAATTATATATACATACAAAAATGTACATGAATGTTCATAGCAACATTATATATATAACATATATATATATATACACATTTTTTTTCATTTCTCTTGGATATGTACTTAGAAGAAAATTTGCTGGGCACTTTGTAACTATGTTTAACTTTTTGAGGTACTTCCAAACTATTTTCCAAATCGCTTCCACCATTTACATTTACAAATAAGTGTAGTAGGATTCTAATGTCTTCACTTGCAATGGTCTGCCTTTTTTATTATAACCTTCCTGGTGGATATGAAGTAGGATCTCATTGTCATTTGCATTTGTATTTCCTCAATGGCTGATAAGGCTGAGAATCTTTCCATGTGCTTGTTTGCCATTTGCATATCTTCTTTGGAGAAATATACGTTCAAATTATATGAGCTGTTTTAATTTAGCTATTTGTCTTTTTATTGTTACTGAGTTACAAGTAATCTTTGTGATTTCTGAATACCAGTGTCTTATCAGGTATATGATTTCCAAGTATTTCCCCCATTTCTGTGAGTTAACATTTTTATGTCTTGATAAATGTCCTTCAAAGCACAACTGTTTTTCATTTTGATAAAGCAAAATTTATCTTTTTCTCTCCTCATTTTGTTCATTGGGCTTTGATGTCATACCTTGCCTGACTACAGGTCATGACATTTACACCTAAATTATCTTCTAGGAGTTTCATATTTTCATTTAGATGATGATCAATTCTGAGTTAATATTCATGTATGGTGTGCGGATGGAGTTCAACAGCATTATTATATATGTGAAATTCAACTTGTCCAAGCATCATTTGTTGAAAATACTATTCTTTTTCTATTGAATTGTCTTAACATTCTTTTTGAAAATCAAATGACTATAAATATCACAATTAGAATAGAAGGGAATTGATCGATTATATTGAATCATCTAAAAGTATTCTGATACATTTTTTGGGGCTTTAGCATACAAAACATGTGTCATTAAAAATAACCAAAACCTGGTGAAAGATATTCTCATTAAAATATGAACTTGAAGATTTGATATTTATATGTAGTTTAGAATCTCTCTCTCAATTCATGATGGAGGTTAACATATTGATATACAGTATTAGACATTTTGAAAAACATTAAAAGTGTTAATTCATCACTCATCTATAATCCCTAAAGTCTTTCTTAGAATTCCCAAGTGGATATTTATATCTGTAGAGAAAATATGCATCAAATGCTATTTAAATCAACAGATTCTATCAAATCTTTCCTCTAACAAATTTTGCTACAGTGAGAGACTTCAAAATTTTAATTTATTAATTCTGAGTTCAAAAACAGTAGAAAGATGTAATTCTACAATTTCCATGCTGTCTGAAGGCCTCTTTAAGATATTTAATAATTTTAATATGATTAATAGTAGCAAAGTAAATTTTGTTAGCCAAAATTATTTCCAATTATAATAGTCATGAGGGAAAAATTATTCTTATGTTTGTTAATTTTCATGTGAGACAGAAGTGAAACAAAAAAGCTTTCTCCTTAAAGATATTTATATATTTAATTAGTTGCAGCCGTAACAACCCAATTAATGCTATTCTCCTTCTAATAGAATGTGCTACCCAAAAGCTAAAATGCAAAAAACAAGCTTCTTTGTGTGGATGAACAATTACTTTGAAATCTGAGGTAGGACAAATATGAGAGTTCATCTTTCTTTTCTTTCTTATACATACATTTCATATTAAGTTCATATGTCTCATAGTTATGAAAATATTTTCTAATGAAATAAAAATGAAACCTTGATTCATAACTGAATAAACCCAACTAACACTTAGGGATTTTTAAAGCACAGTTATCAGCAGTGTTCTGCATTGTTACACTTGTATAACCAATTTCATCTGGCTAGAACTGTCCAATTACTTTCAAATATATATTAGTGAAGCATTGCAAACCTTACAGTGTGCTAATTTAAACAGAAGAGTAAAATAAATATGCATCAATTTTTGTAAATCATGAAGCTATATTTTTCTTACTGTTTTCTATGTAGACTTTTTAGTAGCAAATTCAACTAAAGGTCAAATTAAAGACTCTATATAGAATAGAGAAAAAAACCTCATCTAATTGTCCTAGTTCAGTAAATGCTAAACCCATAAGATAAAAATCTACTTTGGAAGTTTATTTTGCATCTGAAAGCCAGGGATTTGCAAATTAAGACAATCTATTTTCTAAAGTCTGTTTTCTTTTGTTAATTATATTTTATACTTTATTTTCCTTTTTAGCAAATGAATCACTTTGCCTACCATTTCAGCAGCCAACCTTTCAACGAGCCATTTAAAGATTGCCCACATTTGTCAGCCCACCAGCTTCACTATCATTAACCCTGTCTGAATTTATGCCAAGCTGCCACTTTGCTTCAGCTTGCGTAAGTACAGATTGAACTAGTGGCATCAGTTCGCTCATTGAAAATACCTATGTAGCAAGTGGGAGGATCCAACCTGTCAGGTTTTGTCAAGTTGTTTAAGTGCATATTTAGGAGGTGCCTTTTCAGAGTTTATCCGTGATTACTAGTAATATGGTTTAGATTCAGATGAAAGCAAATTATTATTCTAAAAAACTCTTCATTTCTCCCTTTCTCCTTTCACCCTGCCTCCTCCCTGCCTCCTTCTATTCCTCTTTTTTATCTTATTTTCTTTTCCTTTCCCTTCTTTCCTTAATCTTTCTACATTGCTTTTTCTTTCCTTTTGTTTCTGAAAGCTAGGGATTTGTAAGTTAGACAGAATATATTTCTAAAGCCTTCCCGATTATAATTTATATGCTCTATTCTTGCTTACTTGTTTGGTTTCTTCTTTGCTTTTCCTTCATTTTTTTCTTTCTTTTTTTCTCTTATTCACTCTCTCTTCCATTTTCCCTTTCCTCCAATCATAAAGCAATGATATAATAGCCAAAAGGAGAATAAACATTTTATCATAATATATTTACAGTGTCATGTTAATTGTGTCGGGGTGGAATTTTGTCTACTGTTTCAATCCATTGCACTGCTATAACAAAATGCTGTAAAATTGGCAGCTTATAAGGAACAGAAATTATTTTTTAGTTTTGGAGGCTGGGTGAGCCCAAGATCAAGCTGCTGACTGATTCAGTGTGTGGTGAGGGTCCATTTTTTTGGTTCACAGAAGGCTGTCTTTTCATCATAACTTCACATGGTAGAAGAGATAAGTCTTCTCCGGGGTTTCTTTGATAAGGGTACTGATTCTATTCATGAGAGTTCTGACCCCATGTCCGATTCACCTCTCAAAGGCACTCTCTCTTAAAACTATCACCTTGAAAGTTAGAATTTCAAAATACGAATTTGGGGGTGAAACACAAACATTTAGACCATGGAACTTATCAAAGATAAAATGTACAATAAATTTTTATTAGTTTTACCTTCTTTCCAGCACCTTATCTTAAATTCAACAAACTTAAGCTTTACAAAAGTCTCTAAGGAAAATTCTTATACAAATTAAGATCATAAGATCTTATACAAATAAAGATCATAAGATCTTTATTGTTGAAGATATTTGTGTTTTCTTTCTGTTTTTACTAGGATCAAGAAAAAAAATTGTATCTCAGAAATTATTGAGAATTTCAACGTTTTTCTCTACTGAATCCCCCAAACAAACATACAAACAAAAAAGCCTACCACATAATAGACATTCGATAAATATTTCTTGAATAAATACATTAAAGATTGCTAGTCAACTTCTTAAATATTTTAATATCCCTTGATATGCTGAAAATGACGCTGAACTTCCCCTTCTTTCACAGCCCTGAAATTCTGAGGAACTTGACTAGTATAGTAGTTCAGTTATTATGATATGCGCAATATTAGTAAAATAATAATAAAATTATATTTCAGAAGGCAATATACTCAATATTACATTAATTATCAAAAATATTTTAGAAAATAAAACCTGAAAATTAAGTAATATATATGGCTACATTTTAAAATATCCTGCAATATACACATAATTTATGTTTTTGAATAAAAAATAAAATAAGCTACACACTGTAGAGAAAAAAATTTAATTGAAGCATAACTGTTTTGTTAAGTGGAAATATATTATCTATTCTAAATTTTAGGGGAGTCTGAGTTCATTTACCTTGAGGAATTTGAATCTGGAAAATGCTAGATGCTGATTATTTATTCTGCATTATGAAATGAAATGCTGAATGGAAGATTTCAAACAAAATATTATGGCCATATAAAGAAAATTGGTACATAATTTAAAATTGTTACATAAAGTTGGTACATAATTGGTACATAATTTAAAAATTGGTACATATAATTTATTATAAAACACAAAAGAATACGCAGTAGCTGTAGTTTATAATGTAATATCTTACTAGAGCTTTACTTGTCAAGTTTCTTCTACTTTCAAGAGAAAGAAAATGTCTAATGGGATGAAAATGAAATAATGGAAATGTTTTATTACTGTACTGTCCAATACAGTATGCACTAGCTACAGATGCTTACTGAGTGAGTATTTGGGTTGTGACTGTTACAACTGAAAAGGTAAATTTTATGTTTTATTTACTTTTAATTACATTTAAATAGCTGCATGTGGCTACTAGTTATCATACTACAAAGTGTAGTTCTAGAACACATCAGGTAGCAGAGCATTTGATAATTAAGAACAAATAAAAACAAACTATAAAAGCTTCTTTCTAGATAGTACAGACATTTTCAAAGAACTAATGGGAACTCCTTTCAATACTTCATTTAGTATGTTCCCTAGTGCTTTGTTAGTGTGCAAAATTTCAATCTTAGAAATAGATATCTGAGTTCATGGAAGTTTCCTAAGTGCTCACCAAGATAATAGGCTAAAGCCATATTCATACTTATAATTGTAGAAATGACAAAATTTGTTTTAAATAAACAGGAACTCAAGTTAATGTCTCAAGATAAGTAAAAACAGTCTGTCATAATAAATGAAAATGTGAATACCTTGCTAACTCCAGTGTCCTTAAATAATTCACTCGTCAGGTACAGAAATAATCATTATGAATGATAATCAAAACTCATCAAAAATATAATTACATTACTGGGAAACATGCTTACATGGGTAGGATATTATAAAGACTTATACTTTAAATGGTTAAATGTAAAAAATGCTTACATACAAATGAGATACATGTATATAAAGGTTCACTTATATATGCCCTCCTCTTTTTGAAGCTGGTTAATGTGACACTTCATTCATTCATTTATGCATTAATATATTCAATAAATATTTGTAGTTGGCCTAGTGTTTGTCAGTGACTGTGACAGATCTTGAGATTTGAAGATGAAAGACACTGTCTACTACAACAGAGCTTAGAGTTTATTGGGAATTCTTACAAGAAGATGTATATTATAGCTAGGGAATTAAGTGCTGCCACAAAAATAAGCAAACATAGTTCTGGGGACACAAAAGAAGGTCAGACCGAGAATGAAGAATCAAAACCAGTGGATAGCCGCTTCAGGACAGAAGCCATTGTTATTTATTGTCATGTTGCCAGTTCTGTGCAATTGCTTATATGAAACTCTACTGTTATTATCTTACAAGGAATTACCCTCTGGAGAAACTTGAAAGAATAGCAAGATTTAGACACGTGGACTAAAACTTAGGAAGGGCACGCTAGTCAGAGGGAAGGGCTGTGCAAAGCATAGACACACATTGCCAACAGTATTGAAGAAATTTACTTAAAACTGGACCAAAACAAAGGAAAGTGAAGGAGATGAAGCAGGACAGTTAGGGTTCGAATCAAAGCAGGGTTTCTGTAAGGAGTTTGAATTTTATTATGACTCCTGTCTGTAACCACTGAAGGACTTCAAGTTGCTGACTAATTTTCTTAAGACTGATTTATTTCCCTCAGGCCTTGAGTACATAATGATTTGCATGGCTGCTGTAATGATATTCTGGGAACTGTATAAATTCAAGTTCATAGATGTCAATGAGTAATATTCTTATTAAGGATGGCACTATCAAAAGTATGTTTATCTGATTTACAATTACATTCAAAAGACTTGTTGTTGAATAATAAAACATTATTTAATGTAGAATAGAAGGGAAGAGAAAAGTTAATATAAGTCTGTGAAGGATTTAGAGATCAAACAAGAAGCATATTGAAGTCTCTTCACAGTAAGTAATGTCTAATTCTTTAATGATTGGTGTTAAAAGACAAATTTGTAATGTATGAATATGAGATTATATTTTCCTTTTAAAAAAGCAAATAAGATACAATAAAATAAAATATAAAAAGCCAAAGTTCACCAGAAGAATTCATTATTTGTAAGATCATACTCTTACAAAATTGTCAAACAGATGAAAATATACAAATTTATACATATCCATAGATAGAGACAGATAAAGAGTAAGAATAATAAGTATCTTCTCAATGCTTTTTGTTTTCAGTGTTGGGAATGGATATGGTTATCTTGTTATTTTTACTATTCCACTGTATTTTACTAAGCTAAATGTAATATAATGCAGTACAACTTCTCAGACTGAAAGTAAATATTAATTACTTTTTATTCAGAACAATCTTTTCTCAGATAAATAAAGCAAATCTTATTTATGGTTGCACTCATCAACATCATTCAAGATAAGTAGCTGCAGTTTTCAGATAAAATATGAACTATGTAGCAATCGTTAAATTAAAAAAATTACTTTTATCCATATAATGCTGATATTGTTGGTAAGCTAAGTTCAAATACTGAATTTAACTCTACACTTTTAATATCAAAATGGCATTGTCTATTTCAGAATGCCTCTTGCTGAGGAATTTTAATGTCTATTAGTATTAAGTTATAAGGGATACTTAAGGGATACTTAAGGGAACATGCAAGAATTTAAAATAATTGACTTTAAAGTAATGTGATGCTTTGAGTGTCCTCCCATATGTCAGTAAACAAAAATTCATTGAAAAACAAAGCTGACAACTAATTTCACATTGCATTAATACATTACTTTTTGGAGAAGCAATGTTGAGTCACGGAAAACAAAAACAAATAGGTATTAACTTAGTTGTTTCAGATTTCTTGAAATGAAAAGCAACTACACAGAATTTAATAAATCTAATAGAAGTTTCTACTTGGAAGAGAAAAAATGCAGAACATCAGAAACTTTTTTTTTTTTTTTTTTTTTGAGACAGAGTTTCACTCTGTTCCCCAGGCTGGAGTGTGGTGACGTGATCTCGGCTCACTGCAACCTCCAACTCCGGGTTCAAGCAATTCTCCTACCTCAGCCTCCTGAACAGTTGGGATTACAAATGTGCACCACCATGCCCAGCTAATTTTTGTATTTTTAATAGAGATGGGGTTTCATCATTATTGGCCAGGTTGGTCTCTAACTCCTGACCTCAAGCGATCTGCCCATCTCAGCCTCCCAAACTGCTGGGATTACAGGTATGAATTTTACACTTCAGACTACTGCAGTAAGAATCATCTGCCCCTAGATTTAGGGGCAGAACTGAGATGGAAAATTTAAAAGGTAATATAATGTAACTTCAATCTGAAAGAGTAAGGCTAAGAAAACAAATTATTTACAGAGAGATTGATAAGTTGATAAGTTGATGAGATCAAAATTAAAAAGATCATAACAAAATTCCTAAAGCATAGGCTTGAAAGGTTACTTGAACTGCTCCTGCAAACTGGCCTCAGTTATTTATTATGTTGCCTTGAATAGGATTGGGAACAGGTGATTATAAAAATATCACATCTTTAATCATTTGGATATTATGTCTTAAATTCAGGTGAACACAAGACTGTATATATATGTCTGGTATCCGTAGAAAATTGCAATTTAAAAACAATGAATATAAAGAAAATAAAGCGAGAGCACATTGGTTGAAAATGTCAACTTAAAAAGAACCTTTAATTACAAATAATATTTTAAAAAAAGGACCAACAACAGAGACTAGAAGGAATAATTGGAGTAGAAAGGGAAAAAAAAATGGTAAGAGACCTACATCACAAAAGATAGTAAAGTGTCAAGTTGCAAAAAGGTCGAAGTCTCGATGATGGAGCTAAATCCTTACCTATAATTGGTTGTGCTTGTTGAAGAATTAGATTCACTGGGCAGAGAATTTTTATCCTCTGAGATGGCACATAAAGATGATTGGAAATACATTAGTGACTGGGAGAGGGTCACATCTTAAATGAGGGGTTACTCCAGTGAGGAATTGGAGAAACAATTTAAAGAAAGGAAACTCACATGCAGAAGGCTGTCTTTACAGTGATAGTGATTGCATACAGATAATAAGAAGATCTGATTATTAATGAGAGTAACCAGAGGAGTTACATAAAAAAGAGTTGTTTTGAATAATATCAGTTTTATGGAATCCAGTCCTTTCTGTAATAAAAATATATAAAATTTAAACATCTGTTTAGAATAAGTTTCCATTAATCTTTAAGTATTTCTCTATAAGTCTGTTTTGTGAGTACACAGGAAGGACAAAATGCTTATTAGCAAAGTTGCACTGGACCTGTGCCTAGATGAACGATAGGATACTGACAGTGAAAAATAAGGGAGAAATATATTTCAAATGTAGGAAAAAAACACAGCAGTGGAATATTTATGATGTTTTGGAGGGGAAATATATTGAAATAGCTCAGTGCAGAAATTTCATAAGAAACTATTTTTGTCATACCATCCAAGAAAAGCTCTAGGTGTGATATAATACGTCCATTTACAAATGAGTAACGGAGACCTCTGAGTGTCTATATTATTCTCTCGTGGCCCGCTCAAGCATTAGAATAGTGCTAGCCTTTAAGTGGGTAAAAAATAAATGTTAGACTGATTAAATAAAATATTTGTGTACATAAATGATAAACAGTTTAGGCTACCTAAGAATAAACATGTGTCCATACACTGACCGGAGCATGTCTGGTGACTATCAAACATTTGCACAATATTAAGTCCTATTGGGCAATTAGTCTCCTTTCTGAAACATTCAAAATAAATGAAAAAATGGCATTAACAATTGACTAATTTTATTGTTTTAAGTTACTGTAAACAAACACATTACCTTATAAATACCCAGAGATGCATAATAAGGAATACTTTTTTCCCCTGAGTTTTATAATCAACTGAGATTCTAAACTGTATATGTTCTAAAAATTAGCATATCCAAACTGATGTTTAAGTTAATGAGTTCATTCAAACACATTTTAACACAATATATTATTACTACCAAATACTGAAATTAAATATAATTGCATAGAGGACTTATAAAAGAAGACATACATTAACATTATATTATTCTGAGGTAGTATCTCCAATCAATGAAATTTTGATTCAAAAGTCCACGTTTGCTATCTTTATTGTCCAGGAGAGCATTTTGTAAGCCTGAAAATTTCATGAATTTTGTTATCCCTCAGTTAAGTTATTTACTTAAATATGATAAGGAAGAAACTACATTTCTAGCAAAAAATAACATTATTAAGTATTCTTAGGTTGGTATTAGTGCACTTAATGCGCAATAATATTGTGCTTTTTATTAAGCACAATGAAAACTGAAGTTCAGTAATATTTCAGGCTAAGACATGACTTCAAAAAGTAAAATAATATATAAAAATATATAATACCCAAATACAATATATAAAACACAAATATGACAATAAAATCATTCAGGTCTGCATCTACTCAATTTTCAGACTAACATCAAAACTTTAAAATGTATAATTTATAGGGAAAATAAGAATTTTAATTGATATTTTAATAACTATTTGCCTAATTTTAATATGATGGCCTATGTATAAATAGATCCACACGCTACATTTAATGCATGTATGTTTTTGTAAGGAGTCCATTGGATCATCAGTTTCATCATCAAATAACAGTTTGGTCACTGCAAAGATGAGTGTCTACTAATCATTCTTTCTCCACATTGCAAGTGGCAATTAAGGTCATTTCCTCACTGGAAACTGCTATGCTTTATTTATTTGACATTAAAATTATTAGCTCCACTAAAACTTGTAAAATGGTCTAATCAATACAAATCCTGTTTATGCTATTCTGATAATGATTCATAGTCTCAAATTTTATTCTGGCAAATATTTTAAAGGTATAAAACTCTCTATTTTCAGAAATGAAAACTATGCCTAAGATAATTTTTTTTTGTGGGAGTTTGATATCTGTGTTTTTATTTAGTTTTCTAATCTATAGCTCAGTATATTTCAAGTATATTTCAAATATATTTTATTTTATTATGTTCAATACAATGAATATCTTCTGCCTCACCAAATACAGCAAAAGTTAGAATCTTATTGTGCAATTTTTAATATCTATATTTATATATATATTTTATCCTGAGTATTGCCAACAAATATCTTTATTATATAATGTTTTTCAAAAACAGCTTTGTTGCTAGGCAAGATTCAGAGGATCATGGCGGATGGGAGGCAGGACTAGATTGCAGCTCTGGACATAGCAGCATGCTGAGGCTTGCATTGTGAATTTTAGCACCAGATCAACTGCAAGAACAAACCAGCTATCCTGAGAAGACCCACAGACCCTCTGAAGGAAGGAGACTGCTCCTGCAAGACCTGGGAGACACTCCAAATATTGTGAGTGCCCCAACTGCAGAAGCGGAAAAGGGAGAAGGGAGACCCTCCTCTCATAAACACACAGACCCACTGGAGAAGCTGAAGGTCTGTTTGTGGGAAAAGTTTCTTTCCTGAAAGCTCCACCTGTTGGCAGGAGGCCAAGCAGCACAAAAAGAGAGCATTAAACCAGAAAATCTAAAGACCCTGATGGAGTCCAGTGTACCCTCTGCCACCTCCACCGGAATAGGCACTGGTATCCATAGCTGAGAGACTCATAGATGGTTCACATCACAGGACTCTTGCGCAGACAACCCCCAGTACCAACTCTAAGGTGGGCAGACTCACTGGTTTGCTAGACCTAGAAGAAAGACAACAACCACTGCAGTTCAGCTCACAAGAAGCCATATATAGGAAATGGGGGAGAGTACTACATCAAGGGGATACCCCATGGGACAAAAGAATCTGAACAACAGCCTTCAGCCCTAGACCTTCCCTCTGACAGAGACTACCCAAATGAGAAGGAACCAGAAAACCAACCCTGGTAATATGACAAACAAGGCTCTTCAACACCCCCCAAAATCACTCTAGTTCGCCAGCAATGGATATAAACTAGAAGAAATCCCTAATTTATTTCAAAAAGAATTCAGGAGGTTAGTTATTAAGCTAGTCAGGGAGGGACCAGAAAAAGGTTAAGCCCAATGCAAGGAAATCCAAAAAAAAATGATACAAGAAGGGAGAAATATTCATGGAAATAGACAGCCTAAAGAAAAAACAATACAATTTCGGGAAACTTTGGACACACTTTTAGAAATGCGAAATGCCCTGGAAAGTCTCAGAAATAAAATTGAACAAGTAGGAGAAAGAAATTCAGAGCTCCAAGACAAGGTCTTCGAATTAACCCAATCCAACAAAGACAAAGAAAAGAGAATAAGAAAATATGAACAAATTCATCAAGAAGTCTGGGTTTATGTTAAATGACCAAACTTAAGAATAATCAGTGTACCTGAGGAAGAAGAGAATTCTAAAAGCCTGGAAAATATATTTGAGGGAATAATCGAGGAAAACTTCCCTGGCCTTGCGAGAGACCTAGACATCCAAGAAGCACAAAAAACACCTGGGGAATTTTTTGCAAAAAGATCTTCTCCTAGGCACATTGTTATCAGGTTATTCAAAATTAAGATGAGGGAAAGAATCTTAAGAACTGTGAGAGAGAAGCACCAGATAACCTATAAAGGAAAACCCATCAGATTAACAGCAGATTTCTCAGCACAAACCCTACAAACTAGAAGGGATTGGGGACCTATCTTCAGCTTCCTCAAAATACCAGATTTTATAAACAAACAGTTTTACTCTGTGAAACTGATATTTGAAACAGTCTTCTTCCATATTTATAGTTAAATTAGATGTTAAAAATGAGTGCAAACACAGGTATCACTTCTTTAATCAAAAACTTTCTGGATAACTTGATACACTTGTATCACGGTTGTTGAAGTTATCTGTTTACTACCTCTATGGTCGATTATAAAAATTGTCTGCCGTGATTCATTTTGATAAGTCCTCACATCTTCATCTGTTCAACTTTCAACATCTAAACACTCTAAACAGTACCCCTACAATCTCTTTCTCTCTACCCTACTTTACTTTTCTTCAAAGTATCATTACCTATTGCCTGCTCCCTGGCAAGAAAACTTGCTGTCCACAAGGACAGGGGATCAACATTACATGTTTTTTTTTTTTATTTCTATTACCAAGAACGATGTGAAGCCTGAATAAACCCTTAAGACCTTAATGTTTTTGCTAAGGGAATGAATCAAGTAAAGAAGAAATAATGAATTAATAAACTTGACTTAGTAAACAAAAATATAAATATATTTACTTGCTAACCTGTATTTGCATGAAGCCATACTATTAGATCATATAATGTGGGAACGTAACCATGAACTAACCTTTTTCTGAATATCTATTAAATTTCTACACCATAGTTTCATTGGATAAAAATCAAAAACATTTTCTCTATGTTCATTGCACAATTTCCATGATACATATGTATATACACACACACACACACACACACATATTATATACTATACGAATATACATATATATATATTCAAATCAATAAAATATATTCGTGGCCGGGCATGGTGGCTCACGCCTGTAATCACATCACTTTGAGAGGCTGAGGTGGATGGATCACAAGGTCAGGAGTTCAAGACCAGCCTGTCCAACGTGGTAAAACCCTGTCTCTACTAAAAATACAAAAATTAGCCAGGCATGATGGCATGTGCCTGTAGTCCCAGCTACTTGGGAGGCTGAGGCAGGAGAATTGCTTGAACCCGGGAGGCAGAGGTTGCAGTGAGCCAAGATTGCACCACTGCACTCCAGCCTGGGCAACACAGCGAGACTGTCTCAAAAAAAAAATGTATATATATATATATATATATATATATATGTATATTAGTTGTTGTTTTGTCAGGAGACAGATTTTCTAAATTGCCAACATTATTTAATAGTCTGTTTACTTAAAATAATTAAAACAAAATGCAAACTATAAAAGGTATATTGTGTAGCTTTTTAGATTCACTGTTATAATACCTGAAGTTATGACCAAAAAGTCTTTATTGCATTTTCAAACTGTTAGGTATGCCCAAGAAATTGAATAATTTTAAATAAAATGTAATTCTTAGGCCTTCAGGACTATCAGTAGTTTTCACCAAAGTAAATAAATGAAATGTTTTCTTTAAACACATAATATAGGTGTTTAATAATATAATTTCAAGTTTATAAAAGGAAAATCACAGCCAGTTTAAATTTCATCTCTGCTCTCAAATTTGGCAAGCAGTTAATGTCCAAAGTTCTGAAAGAATAACATATTAAAACATAAAGCTTTGTTTGGGTTTGCTATGCTAAATTTGTGAGATCACCTATTAGTTTGTAAGTACATAAATTACTTTCAGGTTATATGTTAGTGACTTCTAAATCTGTATCAGCATTCTAAAATCAATCAGGTTAGTCATTTAATCTCATTATCAGCTTGTAAACATAAACTTTCCTTTCTTCTGGGGAATGCTAGTGTCCATTGAAGAAGAAAAATAATATATATGTTTCCAATTACCTAGCTGAACCAATGATGATTTTTTACGTTTTTTTTTACTAAAATATTTTAATGTTTATGTTCTCACAGATGTAATCTAGTCACTTAAGTAAACTGAAATTGTATTTGATACCGCAGTTTTTAAATTTACCAGATTCATTGTTTCATTTGGATGTAGAACCAAATTAAATAATATTGCCCTGAGTATTATACATACTATTGTGGAAATACAGGTTTAAAGCTTGACACCATGAAAAAGTTAAGTTACATCAGTTATTCATTTTGTGCTAATTTTATGGTCATTCAACATGTCCTGTTTCCACAGACATATGGCACTCACAGCTATGTTCTTCATGCAAGTAGGGCTTTCCAGGTCCTCAGGAAACTTACATTTGTTATTGCTAGTTAATAAATTAGTGTTCCAGTTGTATATAGTTGACGGTAAGGCACAGATTCACTTCCACATCTGAAGAGTTAAGATTGATCCAAGTAAGCATATCAGGATAATAATTTCTTTTGAAGTGTTTGAGGAAATATTTATATATTTCTAATTTATCTACATTATATTTGGCTAAGAGAGTTTAAATATCAGAAGCTGCAACAATATTTGTTAATATCTTCTAAGCATTTTAGTTTTCTTTACATCTGCATTTATATCTTTCTCCTTCCTTCTTTCCCTCTTCCTTCCTTTCTCCCTTCCTTTTTCCTTTTCTCCCTTCCTCCTTTTCTCCTTTTGTTCCTTATTCTCTTTCTTCCTCCCTCCTTTCTTTCTTTCCCTTCTTCCAAAAAAAGTTGTCAAGTAGTGAACCTAGAAATAGTAAAAGGAACATTGTGCACTCTTACAACTAGAACACGCAAGTGATAGATATGTTCTAATTTTTTGCTTTTCTATTGGTCATCACATTAGACCCTTATTCATCTATATTTTCATGAAGCCATACTATTAGATCATATAATGTGGCAACATACCATGAACTGATCTTTTCTGAATATCTATTAAATTTCTACACTATAGTTTCATTGGATAAAAATTAAAAACGATTTTCCCTATGTTCATTGCACAATTTCCTTGAAATTCCTAGTTAAACTTTAGCTCAAATATGAAAAGGAATTGGATGTATCATAATGTTTTATTATATTTTATTTAATTTTATGTTATTTAAATCAATGAGTAATGTACAATGAGGGTAAGCAGAATATGTGATCTTTAAGGCGTTGGTAGCAAACTATTATAAAATGGATAATAATAGCTGTCTAACCAGTGTTAAATATAAGGGTTCGGATACCTCACTGTGATAAAAGTTGATAAAACTTTATATATCACATTCGAGAAAGAGAAACCAAATACTAAATCACTTGTAACTCTGAGATAATATCCTAACATGCTTTTACTCCTCAAATTATACAAAACAGTTTTGGATGAAACCAATGAGTATATGCGTAAAATCCAGTCAAGTGTTCATAAAGCTAGTGCTGATTTATTATTTTGAAAATAATTCATCTATTTTGATGGCCATTCATCTTTTAGATTGTCTGTATTTTTATGTTTATTTGTTTACAAACATTAATAAAAAATAAAAATAAGGCAAGCAAAGTTCTTCCATAGAGTAGCTTCAAGTAAAGTGTGGGAAGTTATAATACTAGCTAAATAAGGTTTTTATTTCAACTTTATGGTTATCAAATCTATTCATTAAATATCCTTGAAACTTAAAAAAATAATGACACTGATAATCTTCAGAATATTTATATCTACATTATTATGTAATATAGATGTTAAATATGCAACTATATATAGCTTCTGTATGAATATGTACATAATACAGAGAGATGCTTTTTATTTATATTTGTATCAACTCTATGATGTTATCAGAATATTTCTTAGCCTCAATTCTTAGATAAAATGGTGATAGAGAAATTAAATGCCTTGTCCATGCTGCTATCTCTGCGAATTTTTAGTGCTATAGTCAATAACACACCTTCTGATTCCCTGTCTATTATTTTTCCCTGTTTAAAAACTAGAACTATAATAATAAAGTAATCTTTGTATTTTATAATGACTACATTTTCATGGGTCAATAATCACTATTAAAAAACCTCTGAATACTAAATTACAACTTCCTATAATGGTTCCAATGGAACTTTTGGTTATAGAGTCAATACACTCCCTCTGAATAAACTGCCCACTCTATATAGGATGTAATTACGTGAGCGAAAAATGACTGTAATAGCATCTGCTAGTCTTTACTTCCAGCCGTCATTTTGTAATATCAATTTAATGAGATCTTATAAAATCTCCAGATATTGAAACTTTGTATAGCTATTATTATAAATTTCTATAGTATATTTTAAACTGCAGCAACTTAAGCCACCCCTTTTTCCCTTTTTTTATTTAATTACATAATAAAACATTAAACTTGAAATCTTAATTTTTCCTAACATATTATATAAAAATGAAACTATTTCTAAATAACAACTTCTTTTGACAATATTAGCCCCCTTTCATCCTCACTCAAAGAAATAAAGCTGCCTTTTGAGGAACGGCCTCCTAAGTTCTTGGATTCTTCTGCTCAGTCATACACTTCAATTGAAGAAAAAATTTCCTCTCTGACAGATGGCAAAGAATTGTCCTATATTTGCAGTAGGGCTTTCATTACTATAGCTTCATCATTTGTAAAATAAGTAGGTTTTATGCCTAATGTTCAAGCTCCTTCAATTCTAAATAGTCTATCACATTTATATCAGTTCTCTGTAAGGATTACATGATATTTCTCATAACAGGTGGCATAGCCCTTGATGAAAATAGTTTTATTCATTTTGGAGACTTTTAAGAAACCCCACAACTTATTCTTAATAGAAGGTATTTAATTAAAAAAAAAAACTGGTCATACAGCTGAAGAGAGAGCCAAACAGCAGTCTTTGTGATGACCTAGAAACCAGCAACAATAGGACCTCTACCACTCCTAGGACAGGAGAGGCAACAGAAGAGACACTATGGCAGGCGGTCAGGACCTGGCCATCTGTGATAAATTGGAACCAAGCCAGTCTGTTGTGATAGAGCTAAGGGTGAACTGGGTGGCAGGAAGGAAGCCAAGGAAGAGGCCCAGCTATTGCCAGAGTTGTTTTCAAAACCAGAGTTTTAAAAACTTACAGATTGGAAGGTGGGGGTGGAGGGCTTATCTTCTAGGCATTTTCCAGATAGCATCCTTTTATCAGACAAAGAAAATCCTTGGGCAGTGTCTATCTGGTAATTCCATACAAGGAGGAGGGGAGCTTCCAGAGTGGTGGAAAAGATTCCTGGAGGTAATGTGTTGCTGCAAGCCATGAGAATACAAATATTTCAAGAATACTGAATAATGGTGGCAAAACTTCTGAAGTTATTCTTCCTTCCCAGGCACCCATTTTGACTTCATAAACGCCAATATTAAATCTACCTCTTTCTTTATTCTATGTAGATAAACACAAATCTATATGCTTCCTGAGCTCTGATCCACTTTTCAAACCTTTTAAAAGACCAAGATATATTTTTACATTCATTCTTGTATTCTATCCTCTTCCTCCTAAATCATTTACTATTCATTGTGATATATCAAGTCATCCTTGAATACTCCTCCCTCAGTCCTTTCATTAACAAGTTATATAATTTACTAGTACCTATTCAGGCCTGTCACTTTCTATTTACTTTATCATCCAGATATTTGTAACAAAATTCTGATCGAACATGCTGTTTACACATTTTCCATCTTCAGATTATATTGCTTTCAGATAAACTCTTTCAAAGCCCAGTATTAGTATTAAGTTTCAATGCTCAGAAAAATCAATAGTTTTTGATTACCAATGATCAAAAATACAGCATCAAATATTTCAAAAGTTTTCATTAAATTTCTTTCCCACGACTTTCAGCTTCAACTATACCTTATTTCCCCAGAAGTATGTCTCTTCCCTGGATTCAAACTGTTTTGAAGCTTAAAATGCCATTTTTATACAAATAATTAAATTTCCCCTTGCTTCTTTATCAAATTTCTGTAAGTTCTTCCAAACAGAGTATTTTTTTCTATACTTTGATTTTATAAATCTTTTAAAATTCGTTTGGTTATAATATCTCTATTTTTATATTATTGTAATGTAGGAAGAATACTTTACTGATACTACTAGATAGTAAGCTTCTGTAAAGTATTAACTATTTTTTTTGTTCTTGTCCGAATCCAGTACTGCAGCCATCAAATACCTTGAATTTCACTCCATTTGATACATCTATGTTAAATACACTTTTACTAAATGTTGAAGGTACCTTTTCTCCCTTGCTTGATATGAAACACAGGGGCACTCTTGGCATGGAATACACTGAAGAAAGTGCAGATATGAATAAATTTTTGTAAATTGAATCAAATCTTAGTGTGGAAGCTTATCATTCCAAAGATGCATTTATCTTTATTTCTTAATTGGCTAAAACTGCTAAAATTTCAGTGTTAAATTTTCTGCTTCAAGCTTTCTGCCAAGTATTATAAATACTCTTCCAAGTGTTTAACAAGTAGTTTTATTAATTGTGGATAACTCCACAAAAATGTGATTGCAAATATTTTAATGTATTTACATTTATGAAGTGGTAACTATATACTAAGTCTAAATAATCACTTTCTAATAAACATTTTGTATACTTCCTAAATTTTTCCAAATACTTGCTGTGTCCATGTCCTAAATCTGAGACTAATTTGAAAATGCATTAGAGAAACAATTATTATTCATTTGATCTCATTGACAGCTCATTTACAATTGCTCTTGTAACTTAAAATTGATTCCAGGAACACTATAATTAAACTACACAATTATGGCCTCTGGGATTCACAGAGTTGCTAATATAAAGTGGTATGTACAGTTAAAATGGCATTAAAGAACTTGTTCTCTTGGAGAACATGTATATAAGAATAAGATCAATGTCATTTTAACTGTATACACCACTTTGTGAACAAAAATTAGCCAGTTATTTTTCAGAAAACATTGTTCATCACACCGTTGATTTTTGTGAAAGTTTACTAGTAAAAGCTACCCAAAAAAGCTATTCTGCTCCTCCAATACATAAAAGACTTAGATATTTTATATTAGATTATAAAAATATAAACAAAACAACCTTCAGGGAGATCATGAGAATAGAATAAAAATTGAATATCACCCCATTTGAGGATTTTAGATATACATTCTTGTATCATTTTTACCTAGATGCAATGACAAGAACTGCCAGTGCAACTATCCTGTTTATGTGTGTGTCTGAAGTGACTGATTTGTTACCTGAAGTTCCTTCCACCCAGTGTACACATGTATTCTGTACTCAGTATGGCCACCATTGCAATTTCAATAATCAATTGCTGTTTTAGAATCAGCTTCTTTGCCTCACAGACTGAATGATTCATGGGCTCCAAAGGAATCATCCCACTTGAGATGACGATATGACAGCATGATATGTCTGCTTCTGCCATTTCCCAGAGTTGATGCTGATGGGTATAAATCAATATTTTGTTTCAGCATTTATCTACAGCATATTTTTCTTCCCTGCCTGATTTTATTCTGCCCTAATTCTCCACACAGGTTTTACTATCATCTATTCTCTTCCAGTCTCCAACGCAATAAAACTGAATTGCCGGGACTCTATCTGCAATATTAAGACATTGCATAGCATACATACATGCCCCAGTGCAACCTCCTAAATTTCCTATGCCTAAGATTTATTCTTGTTTGATTTTATAGATTTAGAATTATATTAATCTTTAGCCAATACCTGCAGACATCATACAAGTAATACATGCCCAATAACAAAATACCACTAAAATGGATGTATGAATTTGTAACCTAAGGTAATTATTACAGAAGATTAGCTGATTTTAGATTTATACATATATATTTTAATGTTAAAAATCACTTCCATAAAGTAAATGCTTACTCTGTACAAAAAAAAAGTATTTTGAAAGTTACTGAAATTACATATTTATTAGCTGATAGATATGTAGTGGAAGTAGACTATTTGATCACTAAAATATATATATTCACAGAATCTACTTTTATAATGCTGTATTAATGTTTTACATGGGATGAAATATTTTAAACAAAACTCCTTTTGAATTTTCAGTAATTATGTATTTCAAAAATTTATCTTTACTGCTGTTATTCTAAATTCACTAATTGTCTATGGTGTTAACTTATTATTAAATGTGATTATATGAATAAGATTACATATTATTAAGGTAGATATGATAAGTAATGAAAGAAATAGAAAATAACCACAAATTAATGGAAAACATCATTGAAGAAAAGGGTGGAATAATATAAGTAATAATTCATTTCAAAAGTTTAATCAATAATGTATATTTCAAAATAACTAGAAGAAAGATTTGGAATGTTCTCAGCACTAGAAATCATAAATGTTTGAGGTGATAACATCCCAATTACCCTAAGTTGATTCCTACACATTGCATACATGTATCAAAATATAATGTATATGCCAGAAATATTTACAATAATTATATATCAATTAAAAATAACAAAACATTAAATGAGAACCTTCTAATTGTCAATTACTGGGTACACAAAGATAAATAATACTCTGTAGTATGCTATAGATTTCACACTTGAGTGTGAGATCAGGTCTTCATTTGAAAGTGTCATTACATAGGAGCAGTAACAGAGATGTGTGCAACTTCAAATTTACTTAAGTTCTCAATGATTTGAGAGAGGATGGGAAAGAATCACGTAATAGAAATGATATCTGAATCAGGCTTTAATTTGTGTCCATGATGCAGTAGACTGAAGAAACTAAAAAATAAGCACCTGGAATGAATAAAAGCTTGGAGGCACAAAGCAAAATTTTGTGGAACTCTCAAAATTTTATAATTCTGATTCTAAAGTACGAGGTACAGATGGGCTAGAGAGACAGAACGTAGACTGCTGAAAATACGTGGTTGACAAAGGTGAGACATTAAAGCACAAAATACGTTTATGACATTGATATGATCTCTTAAAAGTTAGGAATCTAAAACTGCCACTCTGGTGATTCAGCATTTGGAAAAAAGTTTATAGGCAGAAATTTGTTGTGATTTGTGTAATCACCAAAAACACTTCTAATCCCAAAGTAGCTTTTTAATTAGCCTCTACGTGCCAGTCCTTCAATATAATCAATAATTTTGTTTATGTTTAAATTAACTTGCATGAAATAGCTTTTCTGCTTGAACATTTCTCTTCACAAATTGACAATTTGCTAGATATGAATTTGTTATTTTCTGAAATGCATTTTTCTGGTACATAAAATTCACTTTTACCATTGCTTTTAGTACGATGGATTTCTTCACTACAAATTTCACTGTACTTTGTTGGAACACCAAAGACACACTAAAATGTGCCAGAATGTGATAACATGGATGAGAAATAATATAATAGGCTACATCCTTAATTTATAGAGCTATAATCTTTCCAATTACTTGAAGAATCGAAACTCACGATTGAATCTTAAAAATAACATGAAAACATCTTTGGATAAGACATATCTAAGGTCTAAATAATTGTATGGAAAATTCCAACTGTAATTAGCATAATTAATTGAAGATAACTCTGAGTATTTAGATGCTTAGGAAACTATTTGATAATTACAGTGCCTAAAATTCCAAAAAAAATCATTATTATTGTCCTTTCTACTTCAACTACAGCTTTGTAAATTATATCACTGCATATATCTTGGTGTTTGTATTAATATTGCTTCAACGTTACCTTTTTCACATATACACCATCAGCAAAATATCTGTATCTGTTCATTTTATCTAGTTCTATTTGCAACTTGTGTTTGGTGAAAAATGACTTAACTGAGAAGGTAGTTTTACATAAATATATGTATCACTTGTTTTTACACAATTAGAATTGAATATTGAGAACCAAATATTTATTTACCACAGTGTCTGTTATTTTACCTCAGCATTAATGTCTTGTTAGATACTGTTTCTGGAAGTTTCCTATTCCATGGAATGATTAAACTTCAGTTTACTTTGCATTGTAATATATTTAAATCCTTAGGGTACAGTTTCTTAAAGCTTATGATTGGAAAACATTTCCTGGACACACTTTATATCCCTTATGTATAGGCTACAATAGATTTCCAATAAAGGAGGATAAAGCAACCATTAAGCTCATGTGTGATAAATTTAAAGCAACTGCACTTAGTCTAACTGCAAACCATCACCATTTGTCAAATGTGGATGATGGGCCAGAGTAAATTGCTTGTTTAGTGCACATTAATTACTGTAACTCTATGCTGAAGATTTTTTAGAATAAGCTTATTTAAAATCCTGTATACATAACAACAAAATCTGTTCACATTGTACAAAATTTTCTCAGTTTTAAATTGGCATATTTGTCACTAATATGTGTTTTCCAATAAGCAATGATTTACTTCACTTTGTAAACCTTACTTAGTTTTTATTAAAAATATCAAAATTACATTCAAATTGATTAAAATGTTGTTATAAATAATATTTTATGTTATATATGTATCATTCATATATAAACTTCCCAGGCAAATTTAATATTTGTGCTTTACTTTTGATTTCTAAAAAAGTTACTTTGATCAGCAGATTCTATGGCTTTTGAGAATTATTTCTAAATAATGAAATGGTATCAAATATAAACTTTTTAATTCCTCATAAGGCTACTGCAATTAGCATATTTTTATAGATGCTCAATCTTAGGGTAAACCAATTAAGCAGCCTGTTCCAAATCACAAAACAAATAACTGACAGTCAGGACTCAAATCAAGTTCTACTGATTTGTGAATTATTATTTTTTAAAATTTTGTCTGTTAACCTGCTTCTTGGAACAGAAAAATGTGACTTAAAATTTATTCACATCAGCATTAAAGTATCTTCAAGTAATATAAAGAATCTAAAATTTTACCATGAATGCTTTGGGTATCTGTAAAGGATTGTTGCTGTGGTATCCTGGTTTAATGCTGGATTTTTCTCTTATAAACTCAAACATCTATTCACCTTGGTTGTAAGAGAATTTGTTACAAAACAATGAGTAAAGATATCATGATGTACCTTTTGGAATTAGAGAGGAGTGAAAGGAAGAAGTGATGAAAGGTTAAAAACAACCAAATCGATGCAGGGTAGGAAAAAAATTGCTTGAGGTGAGATGTAATTGAATAAAGATGTACATGCTGTAGATACTGTTAATGCAAGTTATTGCTTTTTGCGCATGTGTGCAATAGCTGAAAAGCTACATACATATAGTAAATATAAAATTGATTGAAACAAATTCTATACAAGGGTAGTTTTAGTCATCCTGGGTTAATCTTCATTTTAGAGGAGCTTTCCAAATGCTACAGAGCAATTAGAATTTCAGTTTATCTAAATAATAAGGTCTCATCTGTTGCAAAACTGAAAGCCACCAAGTTAAATAAATATAGTAATGTCATGAGTTTTTTCATATTAGTTTATTTTTCTATAAATGTAAAATTTTAGCAATGTATTCTTTAAAGTAAAATTTGATATTGTTATATTAAAAGCTTGTCATTTCTATGTTGTAAATATATCTCAATATAGTAACAACGTATTTTTGTTTTACCATTTAAGGGAGCACTCAGAAACTCTTACGGGTGATCTAATTTTTCTGCTTAATTTTATCTTCAGAATGTCTTGGAAAAGTTGATATAGGTTGGGAACAGATATATTTTGGATTTAGAACTTTTTTTCAAATTTTGGAATAATTGCATTATATTTGGAGTATTTGCCCCTGTTGAGCATGCCAAATCCAAAAACATAAAACATGAAATGCTCCAATGAGCATTCCCTTTGTGCATCATGCTGGCACTCAAGCAGTTTTGAATTTTGGAACATTTTGGATTTTCAGATTTAGGATGCTCAACCTGTATTATTATCTCCATTTTAAGATGAAGAAAAAGAAGAACCAGGATGTCAATAATTATTCCAACATAAGTATAGTTGGTAATAGTGTTATTTGTATCCAGGTTTATCTAGCTTCAAAGCTTATCTCTGTTCTCCATTTTGCACTCTTTTAATAGTTATATAAAAATTACTATAAAAGTGTGCATGTAGTATGCAAATTCTAAGTTAAATAATTCTGAATAATTTATTAGACAAGCAATGTGTTTGAGGTTCTCTAATATACATGTACTCTTTTCTAGAGAATATAGGGCAATATGCAGTATTCTTATTTTTGAAGGTTTTTCAACATAGATGGAAAATTTGGTGGTTAAAAATAAATAAAATAAATATAGATAAGCATGGACATTTTCATAGAGATAGATCTGATATTAACTGTCATAAAAATGTGGGAATACCAGGAAACACTTTACTAAATAAAATGCTTCAAATAAAGGCCATTAATTTCTTAGTCATAAATAAGATAGTGAGCTTTTCAAAGAAACCTGGTAGAGAAGATTATTATTATGGATAAATGGTGAACATGACTGACAAGTAGTAGATGTGTACGGAGTAGTAGAAAGTATGGAGAATGTGAATGCTTAAAAATAATTTTAACTTTATATTGTTATGATGTGTATCCATTAATATATTTTTCAAAGATACATGATAATGGTTGAAGAATCAGTAGGCAGTGTTCAGGAGAAATTGTGCAGGCAGTGCAAATGGAGAGGTTAATTAAAAGGTGTTACAGTTTGAATGTTCATCTCCTACAAACTTCATGTAAAATCTGGTTGCCAGTGTAATAATATTAAGAGGTACAACTTTTAAGAGGTGATTAGGCCATGGGAGCTTTACCTTCATGGGAGGGATTGGTGGCATTATAAAAGAGCTGGTTCTCTTTCGCCCTCTTTCTTTACCCTTCTGCTCTTCTACAATGTGATGCCTCCCATCATGCTATAATGCAGTAAGAAGGCCCTTGCCAGATACCAGCATCTTTATATCAACATTTTTTTTTTACTTTTTAAACTTTTATTTTAAGTTCAGGGGTTCAGGGGTACATGTGCAGGATGTGCGGGTTTGTTACACAGGTAATTGTGTGTCATGAGGGTTTGTTGTACAGGTTATTTCATCACCCAAGTATTAATCCCAGTATTCATTTGTTATTTTTCCATATCCTCTCCCTCCTTCTAACCTCCACCCTCAAATAGGCCCCAGTGTGTGTTGTTTTCCTCTATGTGTCCATGTGTTCTCATCATTTAGCTCTGACTTATAGGTGAGAACATGTGGTATCCTGTCTCTGCATTAGTTTGCTAAGAATAATGGCTTCCTGCTCCATCCATGCCTCTGCAAAGAACATGATCTCATTCTATTTTTATGGCTGCATAGTATTCCATGGTATACATGACCACATTGTCTTTATCCATTCTATCATTGATGGTCATTTGGATTGATTCCATATCTTTGCTATAATGAATAGTGCTGCAATAAATATACGCATGCATGTGTCTTTATAATAGAATGGTTTATGTTCTTTTGGGTATATTCCTACTAGAGGGATTGCTGGGTTGAATGATATTTCTGACTTTAGGTGACTGAGGAATTGCCATACTGTCTTCTTCCACAATGATTGAACTAATTTACACTCCCACCAGCAGTCTAAAAGTATTTCTTTTATGCCACAGCCTCACTAGCAATTATTATTTATTGACTTTTTAATAATAGCCATTCTAGCTGGTGTGAGATGGTATCTCATTGTGGTTCTAATTGGCATTTCTCTAATGATCAGTGATGTTGAGCATTTTTTCATATGATTGTTGGCTACTTGTATGTCTCTTTTTGAGAGGTATCTGTTCATGTTTATGTCTTTTACCCACTTTTTAATGGGGTTGTGTATTAGTCCATTCTCATGCTGCTATAAAGAAATACCCAAGAATGGGTAATTTATAAAGAAAAGAGGTTTAATTGGCTCACGGTTCCACATGGCTGGGAAGGCCTCGGGGAACTTACAATCATGAAAGCAAAGGGGATGAAGGCACCTATGTCACAGGCAACAGGAAGGAGAAGTGCAGAGTGAAGCGGGGGATATTTCTTATAAAACCATTAGATCTCAAGAGAATTCACTCTCTATCATGAGAACAGCATGGGGGAACCACTCCCATGATCTAATCACCTCTCATGAGGTACCTCCCACAACACTGATAATAAAGACGCACCTGAGACTGGGTTATTTATTTATTTATTTATTTATTTATTTTTTTTAATTTATTTTTTGAGACGGAGTTTCGCTCTTGTTGCCCAAGCTGGAGTGCAATGGCGCGATCTCAGCTCACCACAACCTCTGCCTTCTGGGTTCAAGTGATTCTCCTGCCTCCGCCTCCCAAGTAGCTGGGATTACAGGCATGTGCCACCATGCCCGGCTAATTTTGTATTTTTAGTAGAGACGGGGTTTCTCCATGTTA
The DNA here is from genome assembly GCF_000001405.40 of Homo sapiens. NCBI lineage: Eukaryota > Metazoa > Chordata > Mammalia > Primates > Hominidae > Homo > Homo sapiens. The sequence continues at coordinate 193,919,987 of NC_000002.12, read as the reverse complement.
ATCAGGCTGGTCTCAAACTCCCGACCTCAGGTGATCCACCCGCCTCGGCCTCCCAAAGTGCTGGGATTACAGGCATGAGCCACTGCACCCAGCCTGAGACTGGGTAATTTATAAAGAAAGAGGTTTAATTGATTCATGGTTCAGCATGGCTGAGGAGGCCTCAGGAAAGTTACAATCATGGGGAAACTCGCCTCTTCACAAGACAGGAGGAGACAGAATGAGTGCCAGCAGAGGAAATGCCAGATGCTTATAAAGCCATCAGATCTTGTGAGAATTCACTCAGTATAATATGAACAGCATGGGGAAACTTCCCCATGATCTAATCACCTCCCCCAAGGTCCATCACCTAACACGTGGGGATTACAATTCAGATTACAATTCAAGATAACATTTTGGATGGGAACACAGCCAAATCACGCCTAGTCTCTTCTGTCCTTACATTTCAGAACACAATCATGCCTTCCCAATAGTCACCCAAAATCTTAACTCATTCCAGTATTAACTCAAATATCCTGGTCCAAAGTCTTATCTGAGACAAGACAATTCTCCTCTGCCTATGAGCCTGTAACATCAAAAGCAAGTCAGTTACTTCCTAGATACAACGGGGGTACAGGCATTGGGTAAATACACCCATTCCAAATGGGAGAAATTGGCCAAAACAAAGGAGCTAGAGGATCCATCCAAATTCGAAATTTAATATGGGAGTCATTAAACCTTAAAGTTTCAAAATGATCTCCTTTGACTCCATGTCTCACATCCAGGTCATGCTGATGCAAGAAAGAGGTCGCTCCCACAGCCTTGGACAGCTCCACCCTTGTGGCTTTGCAGGGTACAGTCCCCCTCCAAGCTGCTTTCACAGGCTGGCATTTAGTGTCAGTAACTTTTCCAGGCACATGGTACAAGCTATCAGTGGATCTACCATTCTGGGTTCTGGAGCATGGTGGCCTCCTTCTCACAGCTCCACTAGGCAGGGTCCCATTGAGGGCTCTGTGTGGGGGCTCCAACCCCACATTTTCCTTCTGCACTGCCCTAGCAGAGGTTATCCATGAAGCTCTGCCCCTACAGAAAATATCTGCCTGGGCTTCCAGGCATTTCCATACATCCTTGGATATCTAGACAGAAGTTCCCAAACCTCAATTCTTGACTTCTGTGCACTCACAGGCTCAACACCACATGGAAGCTTCCCAAGGCATGGGGCTTGCACCCTCTAGAGCCATGGCCTGAGATGTGCATTGGCCTCTTTTAGCCACAGCTGGGGCTTAAGAAGCTGGGATGCAGGGCACCGTGTCCCAAGGAGGCACAGAGCAGGGCAACCTGGCCCATGAAACCATTTTGCCCTCCTAGGTCTCTGGGACTGTGATGGGAAAGCCTACTGTGAACATCTCTGATATACACTGGAGACATTTTGCTCACTGTCTTGGTGATTAACATTCACCTCCTCATTACTTATGCAGATTTCTGCAGCCAGCTTGAATTTCTTCCCAGAAAATGGGGTTTTCTTTCCAACCTCATGTTCAGGCTGCAAATTTTCCAAACTTTTATGCTCTGCTCCTCTTGAACACTTTGCCACTTAGAAATTGCTTCTATGAGATATGCTGACTTATCTCTCTCAAGCTCAAAGTTCCACAGATATCTAGGACAGGAAGGAAGAAAGGAGGGAAGGAAGAAAAAAAGGGGGAAAGGTTTACAGTCCCACCAACAGTGCAAAAGTGTTCCTATTTCTCCACATCCTCTCCAGCACCTGTTGTTTCCTGACTTTTTAATGATCGCCATTCTAACTGGTGTGAGATGGTATCTCATTGTGGTTTTGATTTGCATTTCTCTGATGGTCAGTGATGATGAGCATTTTTTCATGTGTTTTTTGGCTGCATAAATGTCTTCTTTTGAGAAATGTCTGTTCATATCCCTTGCCCACTTTTTGATGGGGTTGTTTTTTTCTTGTAAATTTGTTTGAGTTCATTGTAGATTCTGGATATTAGCCTTTTGTCAGATGAGTGGACTGCAAAAATGTTCTCCCATTCTGTAGGTTGCCTGTTCACTCTGATGTAAACTAGTTCAACCATTGTGGAAGTCAGTGTGGCGATTCCTCAGAGATCTAGAACTGGAAATACCATTTGACTCAGCATCCCATTACTGGGTATATACCCAAAGGATTATAAATCATGCTGCTATAAAGACACATGCACACATATGTTTATTGCGGCACTATTCACAAAAGCAAAGACTTGGAACCAACCCAAATGTCCAACAATGATAGACTGGATTAAGAAAATGTGGCACATATACAACACGGAATACTATGCAGCCATAAAAAATGATGAGTTCATGTCCTTTGTAGGACATGGATGAAGCTGGAAACCATCATTCTCAGCAAACTATCGCAAGGACAAAAAAGCAAACACCGCATGTTCTCACTCATAGGTGGGAATTGAACAATGAGAACACATGGACACAGGAAGGGGAACATTACACACCGGGGCCTGTTGTGGGGTTGGGGGAGAGGGGAGGGATAGCATTAGGAGATATACCTAATGCTAAATGACGAGTTAATGGGTGCAGCACACCAACATGGCACATGTATACATATGTAACAAACCTGCACGTTGTGCACATGTACCCTAAAACACAAAATATAATAATAATAAAATAAAAAATAAAAAAAGAAAGAAAAGGGGAAAGGAAGAAAGAAAGGAAAAAGAGAAGGAAGGAAAAAAAGAAAGAAGGAAGGAAGGAGGGAACAAAGGAAGGAAGGAAATGAAAGAGAAAGAACAACAGGGACAAAACAACAAAAAAACAGAAATACAAAAACTGTGAAAAGGATTTAAATGGGAAGAAAATAAAAGTAGCATTTACCGTGCATGGGTTTATTCTGAAAAAGAAAAGAACATACAAATGAATTTATGTAAAAGCAAATTGTTTTATTGAATTTTATGGGGCTAGATATGCAGATGCAGGGATTATTAATGAGGAGTTTATTGTTAGATCTTGGTGAGTTGATAAGAACTATAAAAGTGTGTATAGCATAAAAACTCATAGAAGACCAGAAATATAAGCTAGAAGTAAAAAATGAACGATACTTTCCCTGGATAAGTGCACATGTGCTTTTAAATATTCTTTTATTTATAAAGGATTTTATTTCTAAACAAAACGTACAAGGTCCTTGAAGTTTACCATATAATACATTTGTTTCAGCTCACTGTATTAAACCCTATTGCTAGAAAAGATTTATAAATGCTTAATTTCCACAGAGTAGCTTTCCTGCCAGAGAGCAAAACGTAAATATCAGTGAGACACACTGGTATTTACCAGAATGCAAACTGAATGACAAATTCACTACGAAATCCGTAGTCAATTACTAAAAGATTGCTGGAAACTAATTTTATAGGTATGACATCTACAATGCTCCCAGGAATGTATCATATATAATGTGAGTGAAGATTTTAAATGTTGAAGATTCATGAATCACAAATATTTAAACATTTTTTAAAATTACATTTTTATGCTCTGTGTTTTTATTACATTTATCGAAGTTCCCAGTTGTCAATAGTCAGTAAAGTTTTTCAAAAAGAAATTTAAGAAAGCAAATTCTAAAAGCCATCTATTTTTCACACTGATTACCTTGAAGAATAGCAAAGAGGAATAAGGACAAAAGTTCAACAAAAAAGAGTTAAGATATGGGTTTAATTAAGAAGCTTTCAAGAAAAGTCCTTGATCTACTGCCCCTGCCCGCACATCTTGGTAGATCTTTCTTTTTCTTACTATGTATACTACTGCTCTACTGTGTACATCCACCAAAGCTTGTCTTGAATGAGTAACATATTTATTCCAAAGTACTAATTTAACAGACAGACATCTAAGGATACATAGCTTACCATAGGTCAATTCTGTACTTTTTCATCCATAATTGCTTTCACTTTTTGTATGTACCATTATATATTTAACTCTTCATGTACAAATTTTACAGTTTCCTTGAGCTATATTTTATATACTATATAATTCATTCATTTAAAGTGCACAATTCAATGGTTTTCAATACTTTTTCTGAGTTACACTTATCACGACAATTGATTTTAAACTTTTTACTTCAAAAGAAACCCAATACTCATTAGCAGTCATTCAGAATTCCAAAACTCCCACAGCTCTGGAAACCACAAATGTACTTTCTGTCTTTATAAATTTGCCTAATATGGGCATTTCATATAAATGAAATCACACAATATGTAATCTTTTATGATAGACTTCTTTTAAGTAGCATGTTTTTAAACATAATCCATGTTGTAGCATGGATCAATATTTTATTTCTTTTTTGCCAAATATTATTTTACTGTGTGGATGTATCATTTTTTTATTTATTTGTAAATCAGTGGATAAAAATTTGGGTGGTTTATGCTTTTGCCTATTACGAATAATTCTGCTATGAACATTTATGTAAAAAGCTTTTGTGTGTTTGTGTGTTTTTATTTCTCTGAGACACATACTTAGGAGAGGAAATGCTAGCACATATGAAAGATGTATGATCAAATTATAGAAGAACTTTCAAACTTTTCAAAAGCAATGCAACATTTTACATTCCCACTACCAGTGTATGAGTGATCTAATTTCTCTTTATCCTAGTGATCACTTATCATCTGCCTTTTTGTTTAGAGCAATCCTAGTGGATGTAAAATAATATCTTGTCATTTTAATTTGCATTTTTGTGGAGGCTAATACAGTTGGGCATTTTTTCATGTGCTTTAGAGAAATATCTATTCATATTATTTGACCCATTTTAATTGATTAGCATATGTAGTTGAAATTGTAGGTACTCTATATATTCTAGATACAAATGCCTTATCAGATACATGATTTCCAAATACTTTCTCCTATTTTGCATGCTCCCATTTCTTGATACCATTTGCACACACTAATGTTAGTTTTGATAAAATACAATTTATCTACTTTGTTACCTTACTTGTGCTTTTGATGCCATATTTAAGAAAGCAGTGCTTAACCTCCATACACAAATATTTACTCCAATATTTTCTTCTAAGTGTTTTATATAATTCTATCCTTATGCCAATGCCACAGTATCTTGAATACTTTAGATTTGCAGTAAGTTTTGAAATTGGAAAGTGTGAACCTTCACTAGGTGGGTTTTTTCAAGACAGTTTTGGCTATTCTGTGTCTGCTTTATTTTCATATAAAGTTGGGAAATAACCTTTGACACAGATTGCATTCAATCTATAGATTAATTTGGGGAGTATTGCCATTTTGACAATACTAAATCCTTCAATCCATGAACACAGGATATCCTTCCATTTATTTAGGTATTATTTAATTTATTTCAACAAGATTTTGCAGTTTTTCAATTTAGAAAGATTGCATTTATTTGCTAAATTTGTTCTTTTTTTTTTAACTTTCACTCTATTTGTATCTTTGAATCAATCTAGAGAGTGTCTCCTGAAGATTACACAGGTGGATCTTGATTTTTAATCCATCCTGACAAACCTAGTCTTTAGTTTAAGCTACTCATATTTATTGTTATTACTGAAATCCATATATATCTTATTATATATGGATAAATCCATATGTATCTTATTATATATGGATAAATCCATATGTATCTTATTATATATGGATAAATCCATATGTATCTTATTATATATGGATAAATCCATATGTATCTTATTATATATGGATAAATCCATATGTATCTTATTATATATGGATAAATCCATATGTATCTTATTATATATGGATAAATCCATATGTATCTTATTATATATGGATAAATCCATATGTATCTTATTATATATGGATAAATCCATATGTATCTTATTATATATGGATAAATCCATATGTATCTTATTATATATGGATAAATCCATATGTATCTTATTATATATGGATAAATCCATATGTATCTTATTATATATGGATAAATCCATATGTATCTTATTATATATGGATAAATCCATATGTATCTTATTATATATGGATAAATCCATATGTATCTTATTATATATGGATAAATCCATATGTATCTTATTATATATGGATAAATCCATATGTATCTTATTATATATGGATAAATCCATATGTATCTTATTATATATGGATAAATCCATATGTAACTTATTATATATGGATAAATCCATATATATATATGTGTGTGTGTGTGTGTGTGTGTGTGTGTGTGTGTGTCTTAGGTCATTTTCTTCCTTCTTTACTGCTCCCCATCCATTTTGAAACTATTCTCTCTCACACTGAAAGCATGTGAGTTATAAGAGACAGACTGCTAACTAAAATTTTACCCAATGAACAGCAATATCCAATTCCTCTATCCCCCAAGCCCTGGCAACAACTATTTTACTTTCTGTGTCTACAGAGGTGACTATTTTAGTTAATTCATATAAGGATGACTAAGTTATAGGAATTATTCTTAAAATTTTTGATTATACTTAAACTTGTTGAGAGGCTAGATCTCAAGTGAAATATTCTTAGTTAAAAACAGAAGAAGGAAAGAAAGAAAGAAGAAGGAAAGAAGGAAGGAAGGAGAAAGAAAGAAAGAAAGAGAAAAAAGAAAAAAAAAGAAACATAACATTGGGTTTCACTTGAATATATTGTGGATAAACAGCACAAAGCTGACTTTATTTTTATAGAAACCAATTCATAAGCTATGATTCTGGAATAAAATATATTGATTACCAGACTGTGTTTATCTGATTACACTGTATATAAAAGATCAGAAAATCAGTGTGTTTTTATTTGTTGAACTCAATTTTGTTTTATATGTTTATTATGTGTTTATATGTTTATTATTATAATTTTATGCAATACATTTGTATAGTTATTTATTTAGTATAATACCATATACTATTTAATTGGTATATAATAGACATCACGTTAGTAGTTGAAGATAAGATGCATAAGACATTCCCTGCTTTCATAAAGCACACAGTGCATTGTTGGGGATAGATATGGGCATAGAATTATGAGACTTCATAATAAGAAAGTATGAAAGAGGAAACAGTGGATGGTAGATATAGTTTCTTAAAAATAAGTCTACAAAATAATGGTCAAAATAGTTATTTTTATATATGTGTGTGTGCACATGCATACATTTTCAATTTATAAAACATAGATAAACAACTACTATAGTATAGAAAATATGGAGAAAATGAGACTTATAATGGCAGTGAAATCAAAACTGCCTACTTTGCCTTTATTTTTTTCTTGGATCAACCCTGTTCCTATGAGTTTAAAATACTAGCACATATGTAGCTGTAGAGATTATATTTTTAATTGATCTCTGCCTCTTGTTATTCTTATCAGTCTCCCAGAAGAATCAACTGTTACACAGAAGCAAAGCAATTGTTGTAATGTTTTATGGAACCTAGTGAAAAGATCTCATAAGCTATGACCTTATTACTTAATTATAAGAGAAATATGCTTGAACCCATTCTCTAGGCTTATAAAGGTCATATTTTATTAATTATTCTAGCTAGAATATATAAATAATTAATTTTTAAGAGTCACAGCTTAGCACCTAAGAGAATGATGCTCATAAATTTTTCACCCCATATGGGGAATAATCATTGTCCTCTCATATATTTTTGTACATTATTTTATTAGGGATACTCATGAGTCTTACTGATCCCTATGTCCATATGTATATTTTTTTGTGTGTGCATATGTATGTGTATGTGTCCATGAGTGGTGTGCTGTGTGTGTAAAATGAGATATGGGAGAAAAAAGTCTCAGGGTCAATAAATTGCTCACTGAAAAAATGTTAAAATATTATTTCATGCAAACACAGATCACTTGTATGCAGATGTCATTAACATATTCTTGATTGCAATTTCAGCCACCATTTCAGTCACTTATTCACAGGCTAATAATTACAGCTGTGAAATATTTCATTTTGCCTTCTTCTGTCCACATATGCCTGCCGTTTATCCTTTTCACTGCTTATTAGCAGCTCCACCAAAAGGTGGTAAGAAACAGAAGGTGAAAATTAAATTTGACAATTTTGCTACTTAGTATCTTTCATATTAAGTGATATAAGATGATTGGCTAAATTGACATTTCTGGGTTACCTTTGAATGTAATTTTTCTTTATGACTTCTCACTGTGGCTAGAGCTACGTTGATGGAAAAATACACATTTTATACCTGCAGATTGCTGGCACCAAAATTACATTTTAAAGACTGTCCTGTGACTGGCGTAATGGGATGGAAATAAGTAGACATAGAATATATTAAATTGAAAAAAAAAAAACAACAATAAAAAACCTCTACAAAATTTTTACAATAGTAGAAATTTTCATGCTAAGTACTCATGGATCTCCTGTTATATTTCACTCAGAATGACCATCCTAATGAAAAACAGGAAGAAAAAATAATAATAGTATTCAAGGGATCACTAAATTAATGTAGAGTGAAATGGAAGGTAGTTTAACACATGTACATAATAGTCTCTGTTTTCCAGAATAAAAAACGACTGCAGGCCAGCCATGGTGGCTCAATCCTGTAATCCTAGCACGTTGGGAGGCCAAGATGGGTGGATTGCCTGAGCTCAGGAGTTCAAGACCAGCCTGGGCAGCACAGTGAAACTGTCTCTACTAAAATACAAAACATTAGCAGGGCATGGCAGCATGCGCCTGTAGTCCCCGCTACTCGGGAGGCTGAGGCAGGAGAATTGCTTGAACTCGGGAGGTGGAGGTTGCAATGAACTGAGATCACGCCACTGCACTCCAGCCCAGGCAACAGAGTGAGACTCTGTCTCAAAAAAAAAAAAAAAAAAAAAAAAAAATTTGCGCTTATATCATTGGTACTGACTGGTGCATCCTGGAACATTTATCTGCACAATAACTGTTTTTATTAACATTTTGTGAAAAATTGATTTGATGTCTACAGTCTAAGTGTTGTGTTGCCCATATATAATATATGCTAGAATTAAAACAGTCTCTTACAGTCAATATGTGCTCTAATTATTAGTAGCACAAGTGAAGACCTATAGTGGATTTAAAAAATGAGAAGAAAAGCCAAATATAAAGTACATTTTGCAAAGAAATTTAAGCAGTAATAATTCAACTGATTTGAGTATGATAGATAAAGAAAAATAAGTATATTTTAAACATATTCCAATACATTGTACTCTGGTTTCTGAAAATTATTAAAACAAAAGGGAACATCAAGAAAATAACTAAACAAGAAAAAAAAAGTTTGTATTTGTAAGAACAAGTTAAATTACAATGGCTTATCAATAGCAATTGTTTAGTCCCTAACAAGTCAGCCTGTCCTTTTAAAGCTGGGTGTTGACTTCTCCTCTCTAGCTATCAATGTCCTAGATGGCGGCTGGGTGTGGTGGCTCATGCCTTGTAATCCCAGCACTTTGGGAGGCTGAGGAAGTTAGATCACTTGAGGTCAGGAGTTCAAGACCAGCCTGACCAACATGGTGAAACCTCCTTTCTACTAAAAATATAAAAATTAGCTGGGCATGGTGGTGCATGCCTGTAATCCCAGCTACTCAGGAGGCTGAGGCAGGAGAATGGCTTTAATCCAGGAGGCAGAGGTTGCAGTGAGCCAAGATCACACCATTGCACTCCAGCCTGGACAACAAATCAAGACTCTGTCTCAAAAAATAAAATAAATAAAATAAAATAAGAAAGAAAAAATAAGAAAATTACAGATTGCACCTTTTCCCAATAGAAGTCTGTTTTGTCTACATTGAAAATAGGTTGTTTAGTGCAGCCACTTTCATCAATGATCTTAGCTGGATCTTCTGAATAACTTGCTGCAGAGTCTATATCAGAACTTGCTGTTTCACTTGGCACATTTATGTTATGGAAATAGCTTCTTTCCTTTGACCTCATGATCCAAGCTCTACTAGCTTCAAATTTTCCCTCTGCATCTTTCTCACTCCTCTAAGCCTTAAAAAATCGCTGAGAGTTAGGGCCTTGTTCAGGATTAGGCTCTGTCTTAAGGGAATGTTGTGGCTGGTTTGCTGTATCCAGACCACTAAAACTTTCTTCATTTCAGCAATAATGCTGATCACTGTCTTATCATTTGTGTGTTCATTGGAATAGAATTTTTAATTTTCTTCAAGAACTTTCCTTTTCATTCCAACTAAGCTACCTGATTGGCACAAGAGTAATAGCTTTCAGCTTATCTGAGTTTTCATTGAGCCTTCCTCACTAAGCTTAATCATTTTTAGCTTTTGATTTTAAATAAGAGATGTGTGACTCTTCCTTTCACTTGAAAACTTAAAGGGCCATTGTAGGGTTATTAATTGACCTAAATTCAAGATTGCTGTGTTTCATGGAATAGCGTGGCCTGAGGACAGGGAGAGAGATGAAGGAACAGGCTGTTGGTGGAACAGTCAGAACACATACCACATTTATCAGTTGAGTTCACTGTTTTATATGGGCACAGATTGTGGTGCCCCAAAACAATTACAATAGTAACATCAAAGATCACTAACCACAGATCACCATGACACATTTAAAATAATGAAAATGTTTGAAATGTTATGAGTATTACCAAAATGTGACAGAAAGACATGAAGTGAGTGCGTGCTGTTGGAAAAATGGCAGTGATAGACTTGCTCGATGAAGGGATGCCTACAAACCTTTAATTTGTAAAAAGACACATCTGCGAAGCACAGTAAGTGAAGCACAATGAAACAAGATATGCCAGTATTAATAAATTTAGTGCAGCCTAATATTATATAACTATTAATATAGTGCATAGCGTATATTAAGTCTACAGTAGTGTATGGTAATCCTGTGTCTTCACATTCACTCACCACTCACTCATTGCCTCAGCCAGAGCAACTTCCAATCCTTCAAGCTCCATTTATAGTAAGTATTCTATATACCATTTTATACTCCTTATTTTACTTTACTTTCTCTATGTTTAGATATGTTTACATACACGGTACTTACCATGGTATTACAATTGCCTACAGTATTCAGTACAGTAACATGCTGTACAGGTTTGCAGCCTAGGAGAAATAGAGTCTACCATATAGTCTAGGTACATAGAAGGTTATACCATCTCAGTTGTTTAAGTACACTCTATGATGTTTACACTGTGACAAAAACCGCCATGCATTTTTCAGAATATATCCCTATTGTTACGTGACTTGTGACTGCAATGTGTTTTTCTTTCTTGAACCGTCATTTAAAAAATAAATCATTGTCAAACAAATAATATGTGCAAAAACAACATATGTTATAAATAAAACACATTTTGTCAGGGATAAGGAGTATATTGTAGGAAACCATAACAGGTAAAAGTACCTCACAATTTTTCCTAAGTTTGCAAAAACATTGTGCACATTGTGTTTATCAAAATTTTTTTTTTTTTTTTTTTTTTTTTTTTTTTTTTTTTTTTTTTTTTTTTTTTTTTTTTGAGACGGAGTCTCGCTCTGTCGCCCAGGCTGGAGTGCAGTGGCGGGATCTCGGCTCACTGCAAGCTCCGCCTCCTGGGTTCACACCATTCTCCTGCCTCAGCCTCCCAAGTAGCTGGGACTACAGGCGCCCGCCACTACGCCCGGCTAATTTTTTGTATTTTTAGTAGAGACGGGGTTTCACCGTTTTAGCCGGGATGGTCTCGATCTCCTGACCTCGTGATCCGCCCACCTCGGCCTCCCAAAGTGCTGGGATTACAGGCGTGAGCCACCGCGCCCGGCCTTTTCAAAATTTGAACTGAGAAAAGATATTAATGTTCCTTTAGAGTACACAAGCTAATGATAAAGTACAATATAATTAAATCATTTGTAATTCTATCAAATTTAAATGATACATTAAATATGCAAGATACATTTTTGTCTGTATATTATGATTGCCATTTTTAGAGCTCATTGTTGAACTAAGACATTTTAGAACTTGCAAAATATTCTGAAACATATGTTTGATGTGCATAAAATGCTTAAGCCCTTAAATTAAAACATATGTATTTTTTTTTCAGATTTGCCTGTAGTTCTAAAAACCAGATGAGCTCAGAAAAGTTTTTAATGTGATTGCTGAATTTTCAAATCATAACTTACTGTTTAGTAAACTTGTTTCCATCTTGAAGCACTAGCTTCTGAAAGAGTTGATATTTATCTAAAACACAAAAAGTAGACATAAAAATAGTCCTTCTCTGGAATTAGGGAAGTGTGAGTATGTGATGTACTATATACATGTGGTTTGATCACCCACCCACACTTGTTGAGAGACTTTTTTTCCTATTCTCATCAGCAAGACTCTGAAATGTGGAAATTTGGCTGAAACGAACTTCCTGTTTCTTGCCAGCACATCTTAGAGATAGCACTGTTGGAAGTGTGATGTAAAAGAACAGACAGCTGTCCCCAGTCTTGAAGATTCATCTGGTGTATTAGTTTAGAAAACCATCTTAACATCAATTTAACTTTTAAGGGACACATTTAAAGTTAAATATCTTGTGCAGTGGTCTATTAATATAATATGAATTACTTTCCCAATACAAAAAAAAAATCTGTGGTTCAAAATTATCCCTTTGTAGAGCCCATGTCCTACATGGGAGGGAGAACCAGATGTTTCAGTAGTTATGTTATCTGCACCATTGGGCTCCTACTAATTAATTTTATTTTCTAACAGTATACCTCAAGGAGGTCACATTATTAAACGTTGATTGAATGAAGTACCAAGGCCAGAAAGCTTCTACAAGCAATAAAAATTACATTCTATTCATAGAATCCCAGAAAATCAAATACTATTATTAATTATCACCAATGGGAGGCAGAAGTTCTGTGTTGGAAAAAAAGATGTTTATGCCAATTGCTATTATTTGGTTTTGAGTAAGTTAGCTAACTTACTTGAGCTGCACTCATCTGTAAAACAGAAGTAATAAGGATACTTAGTTCATGAGGTACTTTTGAGATTTAAACAATATATGTGAAAATATTAGTTATATTGAGAATCACAAAAATATAACACTATAATTATATATATTTTAAATTAAATAGTAAAATGCTAAACTAAAGAGTCTTTGGGGCACTACTACCAAGTTCCTTCCAATAAATACATTTTATTGTATATTATTTTCCTTAAGTAAACAACGTACCACAAGATAGACCTAGAGGGCTATATATAAATGAGGAAAAAATATCATAATGAAATGAAATTGTTGTACTAAGGGGTTTTGGTAATGCTCAATATGATGCACTACAAAGTGTTATCCTCTTCTGTAAGTATTTACTTTGTTCCTGGACTCACTTGCTTTTTAAAAACATTTAGTCATTTATAACCATCTGCTTAAAGGCAGAGAAGTTGCCTTTACACTCTTGCTAAGCAGAAAGACTTCTGAATTCTGGAATATCTAGGATGCTCCTAACCCTATATTAGTGAGGAATTCCTTCAAAAATTCTACCAGGATGGAGTCTGCTGCCCATTTGGGACCATTTCCTATGACAATAAGAGTTCTTAGGTGACCTCACTAAATGTCTGCCTTTCTTTTTATCAGTGATGTACCTTCACCAAATTGGAAGATGTTCCACATCCTGTCTTCCCTCTACTCTTATATGATCTTCTATCATTGGCCAATTCACAGCCAGAAGCAAATCTCATTATAAATACTTTGCACTTATTATGCAGGCTAATGTAAAACTTTCAAAAGTTGCATTGTTTCTGAGGCACAACTTGGAAATTACAGAAATTGAATTGTCTTTATACTAAAAGTATTGGTATGAATATTACGTGGTTAACTGAGATCCTGCTACCATTTAAGGTGCTACCTCCCCGGAAATATATGGCGGGGGATCTTGCATGACTGATGGCTAGGGAAAAATGGGATTTTTCTCTCACATAGCAGAGTGGCCTCCAGAACAGAATCAGAAGAGTGGCAAACAGAGAGAAACAGAAAATTGTAACCTTTGGCGCTGCTACACATCAGCATCCCTTCAAATTTATCTCTTTCTCTCTCTGGGTTTTTAAGTGTTTAAACAAGATGAGATTAAATTACTCTTTTGTCATTTTTGGATGTATTAAAGAGTAACATTTATGCATATGGTCTAAAAAATGTTGACGCTTTATTTTACCCCCTCTAGAAACTGAGACTGTATATTAGAGTTAGCAATGGGTCTTCAATACACAGATACCCCAGCTTCACCCAGGCATCCTGAATCCAAGCTTCAAAACATGAGGCCAACAAATATCTAGTTTTAAAATATTCTACAGGTGATTTTAATGTGAACGTATAAATACAAATCTGTAGAATCTGGTCTTAACTTTCCAGTAACTATGGCCTTTAAGCAAAGATTTTTATTAACCACCTTACTCCCATTACCAGTGCTCAGTAGAATGTCACTGTGCTAAGCCAAGGAGGAAAAGTGAGGGATATGGAATGAGAAAGTTATCAGTTGCCCTCATGTCCTAATACTTTATGATATGGGATACTTAGTTTGTATAGTCTGGAGCATCAGTAAAGCCGATGAGAAAACTGACTCTTCTGGCATTCTCTGTATTTCCTAAATTTGAATGTTGGCCTACCTTGCTAGATTGGGGAAGTTCTCCTGGATAATATCCTGCAGAGTGTTTTCCAACTTGATTCCATTCTTCCCGTCACTTTCAGGTACACCAATCAGACGTAGATTTGGTCTTTTCACATAGTCCCATATTTCTTGGAGGCTTTGTTCGTTTCTTTTTATTCTATTTTCTCTATACTTCTCTTCTCACTTCATTTCATTCATTTCATCTTCCATCACTGATACCCTTTCTTCCAGTTGATCGAATCGGCTACTGAGGCTTATGCATTCGTCACATAGTTCTCGTGCCTTGGTTTTCAGCTCCATCAGGTCCTTTAAGGACTTCTCTGCATTGGTTATTCTAGTTAGCCATTCGTCTACTTTTTTTTCAAGGTTTTTTAACTTCTTTGCCATGTGTTCGAACTTCCTCCTTTAGCTCGGAGTAGTTTGATCATCTGAAGCCTTCTTCTCTCAACTGGTCAAAGTCATTCTCCGTCCAGCTTTGTTCCGTTGCTGGTGAGGTGCTGCGTTCCTTTGGAGGAGGAGAGGCGCTCTGATTTTTAGAGTTTCCAGTTTTTCTGCTCTGTTTTTTCCCCATCTTTGTGGTTTTATCTACCTTTGGTCTTTGACGATGGTGACGTACAGATGGGGTTTTGGTGTGGATGTCCTTTCTGTTTGTTAGTTTTCCTTCTAACAGTCAGGACCCTCAGCTGCAGGTCTGTGGAGTTTGCTGGAGTTCCACTCCAGACCCTGTTTGCCTGGGTATCAGCAGCGGAAGCTGCAGAACAGTGTATATTGGTGAACAGCAATTGGTGAACAGGAAGGAACAGCTGCTGCCTGATCCTTCCTCTGGAAGTTTTGTCTCAGAGGAGTACCCCACCGTGTGAGGCATCAGTCTCCCCTACTGGGGGGTGCCTCCCAGTTAGGCTACTCGGGGGGTCAGGGACCCACTTGAGGAGGCAGTCTGCCGGTTCTCAGATCTCCAGCTGCGTGCTGGGAGAACCACTACTCTCTTCAAAGCTGTCAGACAGGGACATTTACGTCTGCAGAGGATTCTGCTGCCTTTTGTTTGGCTGTGCCCTGCCCCCAGAGGTGGAGTCTACAGAGGCAGGCAGGCCTCCTTGAGGTGCGGTGGGCTCCACCCAGCTGGAGCTTCCCTGCCGCTTTGTTTACCTACTCAAGCCTCCGCAATGGCGGCTGCCCCTCCCCCAGCCTCGCTGCCACCTTGCAGTTTGATCTCAGACTGCTGTGCTAGCAATGAGGGAGGCTCCGTGGGCGTAGGACCCTCCGAGCCATGCGCGGGATATAATCTTCTGGTGTGCCGTTTGCTAAGACCATTGGAAAAGCGCAGTATTAGGGTGGGAGTGACCCGATTTTTCAGGTGCCTTCTGTCACCCCTTTCTTTGACTAGGAAAGGGAATTCCCTTACCCCTTGCGCTTCCCGGGTGAGGCGAGGCCTCGCCCTGCTTCGGCTCATGCTCGGTGCGCTGCACCCACTGTCCTGCACCCACTTTCCAACACTCACCAGTGAGATGAACCCGGTACCTCAGTTGGAAATGCAGGAATCACCCGTCTTCTGCCTGGCTCACAGCTGGGAGCTGTAGACTGGAGCTGTTCCTATTCGGCCATCTTGGCTCCACCTCCAAGGTATAAATTATTCCACATGGCTGATAGTTTGTTTTCTTTATTTCTTTTTTTTTTTTTTTTTTTTTTTGAGACCGAGTCTCGCTCTGTCGCCCAGGCTGGAGTGCAGTGGCGCGATCTCCGCTCACTGCAAGCTCCGCCTCCCAGGTTCACGCCATTCTCCTGCCTCAGCCTCCCGAGTAGCTGGGACTACAGGCGCCTGCCACTATGCCCGGCTTGTTTTTTTGTATTTTTAGTAGAGACGGGGTTTCACCGCGTTAGCCAGGATGGTCTCGATCTCCTGACCTCGTGATACGCCCGCCTCGGCCTCCCAAAGTGCTGGGATTACAGGCTTGAGCCACCATGCCAGGCCTAATCTTATTATAAAATAATGAATGCACATGATAAAAATATCAAACAGTAAAAATATTATTTGTCCTACCCACAAACTGTCCTCCCACTTACATAGTTAACTAGGAAGTTGTTTCTATAGTAATCTTACAGTATGTATATATATATATATATATATATATATATATATATATATATCCTACACATATACATATTTAATGCATCTGCACCATTTTGTTTAATTAAAATGGAAATGCTATTCTTTACCTTTCTTTTTTCTTTATAAAGTAATCTATTTTGGTGGTCTCATAAAATAAGCACAATATAGACATCTTTTAAAATGCTCATATGGCATGTTAATGTAAGCATTTGGTCTATGTATTAAAGCATTTTCACATTGGTTGATACTGATGTGAAGGTCTAGTTAAGAACTACTTCACACACCTAGGTTTTAATTTTCTAGAACTGTGCACTGTGGTAGATGACAGGCTGCTTATGGGATTTTGCTCTTACAGAAAATATTGCAATAGTTTCTTTTTATACTTGTGTTAGCATTTTATCAAATATATTCCTGGAGGAGATATTTTTGAGTTAAAGAGTATTTCTGTTATTTATTTTTGCCATTTTGTTATATTATTTTACCCTTGGTCCAATTAAGAGTATCGGTTGAAATTCCCATCAGAAGTGTAAGAGTGTTTGCTAATTTCCTCATACCCTTATCATCAGTGGTTTCTTATTATCCCTTCAATGTTTTGTGTATGGATTTAGATATTTCTCTATTTAATTATAAACATCAACAGTCCCAAATTGAGCAGTGCAATGTGACCCCAAAATTCTCATCTAGTCACTCATTCACCCATTTGCTTACACAACAAGAGTATCCTATGGGACCTGCACAGCCATTACAAAGGCATCAGTTCCATTAAATTTGCTTTCTTCTCCATGTGTCATGTATGTATAGTGAGAAATGCATATATTTTGGCTATTTGCCCGCAGGAAAAAATAACACATACTATCCACTCTAATTGAAAATATGTTCATTTCAAAACTCATAAAATCTGCAGCTTGGTTGGGAAGATTCTTAATTCATTGGGGATTCTAAATTTACAATTTAATTAGACTCAGGATATACTTCTGAGAGACGGAATTTTGAAATGTAAGAAAGCAGATATGAAGATGTAATTCTTTATTACATGAATAGCTTCATACATAGATATTTGAACAGCTTCCTGTATAATCTATGGCTCTATCTACATATGAAATATGATATTAAAAAATTAGAAAGTGATGGAGAATATAAGAACACTACAGCTTGAAAGAAATTAGACTTTCCCCTAACAGCCCCCACCCCAAGATTTATTTACTTTTTATAATATCCTTCCTTATGACTATTGAATGGCAAAAGGCTGACACGAAATATATCCTACAGACAATCTCTTCCATGAAGAGTCAGTAGTTCTCAATCTGAAGCACAATTTACTATCGCACTACTGGCCTTGTTTAAAGCTTAAGGATATGGTAGTAATAAATATCTTTCCTGATAATAGATAAGGAAATGATAAGATGGTTTCTTTATAATTTGAAAATAAGTTTGTTTTTACTAATGCCCTTTTATGTTGATAGCTTGACAAGTTGGTCCAATTATTTGCATATTCTGGGAAAAAAGTGGAGAATTTTGCCAGTGGCTTATGGAATCTTTACCAACCAGTGTTCATTGTAGGGGCACTCTGTCTTTTTTTTTTTTTTTTGGTAGTTGTTGTTGTTTTTGTTGTTGTTGTTGTTGAGACAAAGTCTTGCTCTGTCGCCCAGGCTGAAGTGCAGTGGGGTGATCTCGACTCACTGCAACCTCTGCCTCCCAGGTTCAAGCGATTCTCCTGCCTCAGCCTGTTGAGTAGCTGGGATGACAGGCGTGGGCCCCCATGCCCAGCTAATTGCTATATTTTTAGTAGAGATGGGGTTTCTCTATTTTGGCCGGGCTGGTGCCGAACTCTTGACCTCAGGTGATCCACCTGCCTTGGCCTCCCAAAGTGCTGGGATTACAGGTATGAGCCACTGCGCCCGTCCCACTCAGTCTTGTTATTTGGGATGCATAGACAAATGCACAGACAAATTTTAAAATGGTAGCATAAAATCTGAGATTTTTCTAACTCATTTTCTAAGGTCAAAACTTTTCTGAAATATTTTTTGATTTCCCAGACAAATCCACATAGGAGAAAATGCACATATTATTTGATCTTCAATTATTTATAATATGATAGATGTGTGCTGGATAGATGAATGAAGGTCTGAAATGATTAGTGCCAAACTTTTAGAAAACTTTCATCTGAGGAGTGGAGATCTGGTAGGTGAGACTGAGATCTTTCACATTTTACATTCCTCCACTCTTCATTATTTCATTTGATTTTTTGTGTGCCTGTTGTTCACAGTGAGCATGTGTTTTGTGCTCTGGAAATTTAAAATCATAAATAAAAATGAACAACTGTAGGTACAAAATATATTTTTAGGCATATATGACTCATAAACACACTCATTAGTAGCTATAAGGACCTAATTATTACTGGTTATACCCCAAGTCATTGGTGTCGTTTCCCTAAGTGGATGAGATGTGAATGCTTTCTCTGGAGAAGGTGGTCTGCTACAAGTTTTGGCACTAATAGAAGTGTCACTAGTCACCAGTCACATGTGGCTAGTGAGTACTTGAAATGTGGCTAGTGAGATCAAGGAACGGAATTAAATTTTACTTAAATTAAAATAGGCACACATAAATAGCCCCTACACTGCTAGATAGGTTACCTCTACATCACAATCAACAATTCTTGTTCCAAGGAAAGTTAAACAGGTACAAGGATGCCTTAATGAATCTCTTGGGGGGGGGGGGGAACTATATATATATATGAGATATATCTCATATATATATATATATCATCAAAGTAGTTCCTTAGAGGAACATGTCTTCAATTTTTGCTATATGAGTCCCTGGCATTAAAAGCAGGAAATGTATTTCACTGGCCACTGTCTTGTCTGTTTAGCATTACAGCTCAGCCGTTAGTGGTAGGAACAATATAGTAGTGGTTCGGTTGCTTGATCTTAGTCAGAGAAACTGCTTTTTACACTAAGAAAGAAAAAAATAGAACTGCAATATGAAGTTGATATTTTTGTGCTCGTCATGGCACATGTCATTCATAAACAAACTTAATCTCCTTTTCCTATTGCAGGTTTAGATGATCACAAGTTGAATATTAAAAAGTTCTCCTGAACTATCCCATAGTCTAATCTATGAATCCATTGTTAGAAACAGAGTATGGATAAGGATATCACTATCCTTAATTCTATTCTCCAAGGCAAGTGATGACATTAAAGAATAACATTTAAATTAGGCCCAGTTCAAGAACAAAGATTTCCCTCCCTGAAAATTTAAATTAATTAAATCAAGATATATAAAATCCCTAATAAGCAGAGAGCTATGAAAAAATAAGTTATCAGCAATCTACAATCAACCAGACTATGAGCATAGGTTACATCGATATAAGCAGGTATAACTTTTAGGATTTTTTACATGTCCAAGTACAATATTTCTTAATTCACCATTCCAACTAGCTTCATATGTGCTGCATGATTTTAAAAAATCAAAAAGCATGGAAATATTTTAAGCATAAATAGAGGAGACAGAGTATTCAATTTAAACTAACTTTTAAAACCCTTACACATTAAAAATTCATATATTAAAATGACACACACAAACTTTATTTTTACTTTAATTTATTACACACAAAACAAAAAGGGGAATACTATTTCATTTCCAGTATTATTGGTATACCTACATTTACTTGATTATTTATTGTAGTTTTAAGGATTTTTCCCCTGAAGTTTAGATCTTTCAAAATTAAAATGAATAGGAACTCTTTACTGTATTCATGCATTCTTTTCATGATTCGTGCTGACATAGTTGTACTAAAGTTCCCTGGGAAAAAAAGTTCTGAAAAATCTTCAATCAATTAAACAAAATTAGTCTAAAAATATTCTGTATTGATTTGATGCATTTAAATGAATCACTTGAAAGCATATGCCTCTCTCTCTGAAGAGCAATATCCTGTATAACAAGACTGTATCATCGAATATATAAACCACCTAAGCTAACACAAATATATACTTAATTTTTCATTTAGAATTACCACTGCAGGATGTTAAACTGTTGTTGCTGTAATGAAAGTGTTTCAATAATGAATTAAACACTTTAATGTTTGCCATAGTGCTTTAAAACAATTCAATGTGGAACTTAATTTTTAGACCTACTGAAAATGTGCAACCATCTCACAACTTTGAACTAACCTACTTTAAACATGCTGCTTAGAGTTAACAGAATTCTTATACATAAGTTGAAGAGTGTAATGGCAACAGGAGGATGATTTTACCATTAAGATGAAACATCAGGGAAAAAAGGTTTACTTCACTGATAAGTATTTCTATATAGATATATCCCCAACTGTGTAAATACTAAAGCTTTAAAGTAAGCAGGGAGTGTGAAGAATATATTGAGTTGTTCAGATGTTTGCAATAAAATTACATCTTTAGGCCACTAGGAATAGCTAAACCAATAATAGATAAGAAAAGTATCAAATAAAAAGGAAAGAGAAGAGCAAGATAAAATGTCTATTTTGTAAACATATATATGAAATTGAGGGACATCTGGGTATACAGTTATGTATAACACAATTATGCAAAAATCACAAGGTCGATTTCAGAATGTGGAGAGAGACAGATACAGGTAAGGACTAGACAATGAGACAATGAACAATCTCATAATTTAAATAATTGTATTCATTTATTTACTATTGTTATTCATGAAAGTATTAAAGTATTAAACTAAGGCATTGTATATTGTCTTAGTCTGTCTTAGTCTGAGCTGCTATAACAAAATGCCTGAGACTGGGTAGTTTATAAACACTAAAAATTTATTGCTCACTGTTCTGGAGAATGTAAAGTCCAAGATCAAGGCTCCAGCAAGTTTGGTGTCTGATGAGGGCTATTCTCTGCTTCCAAGATGATGCCTTCTTGCTGCATCCTCCAGAAGAAATGAATGCTCTGTCCTCACATGGCAGAAGAGAGGGAAGGACAAAGAGGATTGAAAGCTGGGTCCTCACATGGTAGAAGAGCAGAAGAAAATAAGCCCACTCCCTCAAGCTCATTTCCAAGAGTCTTAATCTTATCCATGCAGGCTCCACCCCAATGATTGAATCACCTTTTAAAGATCTCACCTCTTAATTTCATCACATTGGCCATTAAGTTTCAAATATGAATTTTGGTGAACACATTCAGTCCACAGCAGGGGTGGCATAACCATATCTGCAGTTTGGACAAATCCAAGAAGCAGGGTGATCACAAAAGTTGGTTGTGGTCGTGGGGGAAATGTAACAAGGTGATCAGAAGAGGGATAATGGCTATGGAAATAAAGAAGAGTTAGCCTTTTGAGGGACAATGGCTATGGAAATAAAGAAGAGTTAGCCTTTTGAGGCAGTTGGGAGATATAATTTTTAAAACCACACGTTATTATTTGTGATAGCCATGGAGGAAAAAACACCTCAAATAGCTTTCACGTTTCTAGATCAAATGCTGTATGAGAAATAACATAAATTCACAGTTAGGACAGGAGGAAGAACAAACAGAACAGGATGAATGGCAATGTGAACAGCAGACCCTTGAGATTGAGTAGGAGTATGGACATTTGCATTTGGCTTTGGAAATGATGGCCAATACAGGATAAAGAAGGACTTCAAATAAATAAGAGTTACAAAAAGAATTAATCTCTTAAAGAAGAGTGAATAAGAAGCACCACTTAATTTAAAAAGCTATGTGATTTCCTCCTAACTATTATGGAACCAATCAGAGGTGTAGCCTTCAGTCTGTTCTATAACATCCCTTAAATCTGAGACTTTTTTGGGTGCACATGAATCATCTTAAATATTCCTTATAAAAAGAATCAATAAAATATTTGCTACTAGCTAGTAGTTTTAATTACTTTAATTATCTTATCAGAAAGACACACAAAGTTACTTTCTTACTTTGTTAAATCTCTAGATAGTCATTTGTTTCAGACTAAATGGAAACTTTGTTTCACTTAAACTTTCACTTCACAAGGACTGCTATTTCTGTCCTTCACTAAAATTCAAGAATTAACACAATGCTCATGTTCCCAGCATATGCTTAATTATCAGGCAATATTATTGATATTATTTGATCTAAAACTCTATAATGATGCTTTATTTTGACTGCCACTGTTTAGTTATACTTGAACTGCTCTCTTTATACTTATAACCCCTGGAATGTTTATGAAAGCATATGACTGTTTGGGAGAAGAAAGTAATGGGAAAAAACAATAAAAACCTAAAAGTTTACTTGATTCACTGAGGAATGAGGTCCTGAGTTTATTAGCTTGTTTTAGTTGGAGAATGCTTAGAGCTCTGGACACCTAAAGAGATCCTGTTACACTTTATAAGTTTTCAAATGATAATACATACTTCTAGTTCTTTCATTTAAAGATACTAATATTAATCAAGGCAATTATAAAATAAAACTTAACAAAAACATAATATATTTGTATATTATTTGCACTTTTATTCACCTATAACTGAAGTTGTAGGTGTGTGGAGACAGAGAGAAGAGATGGTAATTTGTCAGCCCTTGTTTTGATGCCTAGTTATTTCTGGTTTTGTTTTTGTTTTGAGTTCCTTGAAAAGGATAACCAAACTAATACAAAGTATAGCACCTCAGAATGACTTGTGTATCTCATTTCTATATTCCTATTTGTTTTACACATTTGAATAACAGAGAAGAGTCCAGTAACCATTGCTGTAAGCAAAAGGAACAGAAAATCTTCATTTTGGAGAAATAGGACAGTGTGAAGTAAATAGAATGATTCTCATAAATTAATACATTTTTAAAACAATAAAATTAGTTTATAGTGAAATGTATGATCATTTTAAGCCATATGGTTTTGTCATCACTGTAATTTTTAGTGTATTTTTAGAAAATTTCCCTTGGGTTCTCTGAAGCACTTCTACAATGTTTGGTAACTTGTGTCACTACATCACTTTTATTTATGACCTTGAATTTTCCCCATTACAACTGGTTCGTATTAGTGAAAAAAGAAGAATGTGTAAGGTGATGGTAATAAAAGCCATAAAGATATTTATTTTGTGTAATTCCAATATTGGGAGGGCTAGAACATAAATTCATCTTGTCAGAAGCAGAATTTTTTTTTTCAATTTCAAAGCAATAGATTGCATTTTGTGAAAGTGTCAGGAATGTCTAAATACATTCCAGGGAGCTGTCAGTAGTTATAGTTTGAACAATAACTGCAAATAAAGTGATAATCACATTCAAAGATTTGTATAAAATTATGTTTCTTAAATAATAATGTAATAATTAAACACATAAAAATCTAGATAAATTCAATATTATGTGCTCATAAAAATCATTCCAAATAAAAACCACAACAAACATCAAATTGGTGTCATAACCCTGGGATGAATTCAAGATTTGATAAAGAAAACACTTTTTTAAACCATGACATCTTAGATGCATAGAATTTACTTATGAGGTGTCTATAAAATTTTAACAGACAGATGAACTTTTAACACCAGTAGATTTAATTTATGATCACTTTTATTTTAATAAATATTTGTGATACATTTGAACATCATCTACTAAAGCATTGACTATGTTAGCATGACACATTTAACAAAATGGTTAATTTTCTATAATGGGGTGAAAAAGGCTTGGGAAAAATTAGAACCCAAGTGTGAGAGATTAAAAGATAACAATCAATGTAGTAAAAAATATTGGAAACAAGGGGTAGATGTAAATACTACGAAGGGATCTGTAAACATTAAATTTTACCGAAAGACTGCAGTGGCATCCGGACAGCAGATGGCAAAGTGCTAACAGCACAGGAAGACATCTAAAACCACTGGAAAGTATATTTCAAGAAGCTATATGAGGTACAAAGGGACCTTATAGACAGTACCAAGTGTGAGGCAATCATCTGCACAGTCATAAAATAACCTTCACCTTTGCTGCCAGAGAAAGAAACAGCAGGAAACAAGCTCAAACTGGGAAAGGCACATGGTACAACATTACAAATGAACTCATAAAGGAAGTGGCAACTGTGCGCTTAGTGTCCTTCATAAAACCTGTCAGTGAGCAAATGGGAAACAAGGGACTGGCTGAGTACCAGTGGAAATCAATCCACATAACACTCCCCTTAACCAGCCAGACATGAAAGAGCAAGAGGTGCTGAACATCATCATTCTCACATGTAAATGTTAAGCTGCCACATGTTGGAAACTACAAAGAAAGGCAAACTAGGAGTCATAGCAGAATAAGCTAGAACTACAGAAAGAAGAGAGGATCATGTTCTATTATAATATGATGAAATAACCCAATCAGACTTTTACTGATTACAAAGTTCTTTAGGCCATTGAGTAAAAACTGAAAGAGCTTATAATAATTTATAACTATAACTTGATTGTAATAATGCAGTTAATCACATTTCCAGAAACAAAATACCCTGAACACAGATTTTAATAGTGATCCAGCATAGGATTAAAGGACCTACATATTACTACATATTGAGGATTAAACAACCTACATATTAAGAATTTGATAAATATTTGAAGCCTCAGCCATAAGAAAGAAAAAGTTAAGAATTACTAGAATAATTTTTTAAAATATCTTAAGTTGTAATTTCCATTTTCAAGTTATGAAACCAAAATTTTGTTTGAACTTTTCTTCATGCCTTTGTTCCTCCAGAATACTGCATTTTTGCTTTTTCTTACTCTGTGTGGGATGGTGGGAGGGATGAGGGATGGAAGGACATGGAAGATTTTGCAGTTTTCCCAATTTCCTTCAGCCAAAAAGACCACAGGGAACACCAGTTGAACAAATTGAATTTAGTACATTTTGCTTGAAAGGAGAATGCACACCATAAAGAACTGTAAGGCATCTCAGTTAGAGGTTGCTAGAAAGGAATTATATAAGATTTGGGTTTAGGTTAGGTGATTTGGGGAAACGTTTAAGGAGGTAGGACTTTGCTCTGGAAGCAGGAATTATTCTATGTTTGGGTACTTTAACAAATCTTATATAAAATGAATAAAGTCTAGACCTAGGCTAAAGCTATAACTGGTAAAGAAGCAGAAATCAGTCAGATTGGTCAGGATAAGGGGAATTTGGGCAATTTGTGGTTTAGACAATGATGGTATCTGGTCTGTGTTCAGATATGAGTATAAAACTGTCTTGTTTTTTCCCTATTCATCATGGTCACAAAGTGATCTTATCTGATGAATGTCCTGTAAAACAGTTTATGTTCTACAGAAGAATAGAAAGGCCCCCAGCCTGGGCAACATGGTGAAACCCTGTTGTCTACAAAAAAAAAAAAAATGCCAGGCATGCATGGTGGGGTGCACCTGTGGTGTGCACCAAGCTACTTAGGAGACAGAGGCAGAGGAATTACCTGAGCCCAGGAAGTTTAGGCTGAAGCGAGCCATGGTCACACAACTACAACTGCACTCCAGCCTGGGTGACAGAGGAGACCCTGTCTCAAAAAAAAAAAAAAAAAAAAAAGAAGAAAGACTCAGCTGATATTGCCAGACGACCAGTTCCTGAATGTCAGGTATTGCATTTCTTTTTAATAGTGTTTTACAGCAGGTCTAGCAAATTTCAAATGTGTTGCTATATTATACAAATACAGATGAATGTAATAGTTTTCCTACTCTCCATTACTGACATGGTCTCATCACTATTGTCTTCTAGACCTGGAAGTTCTTTGCTTCCTTTGCAATGTCAGTGGACATTTTGCATATTCAGTAAGTATAATGTATATTTTTAAAAATGAGAAAATTATATTTTCTCTCATAAACATGATAGTGTTCAGTGTTTTTTGTTTTGGATAATTTCTGAACTAAAATTTTTTAGATATCCTCCACTTTTGATCAGCTTTCTTTTTATTTGCATATCAAAATTGTTACCAAATCTTGTGGATTTTAACCAAGAAATATGTCTTATATTCGTTCTAAATTTTCATTCTCCTTGCCTAGTTCATACCCTTGGCATTTACTACATTGCTTCAAGTATTATCTTCATCTTCATCCATTTATTTTTTTTTCCTTTCTAAAACACAAATTGGATTTAGTCATGTCATGTGATAAGTGAGTGGCTTAAGATGATTTGAAGAATTTAAATGGACTCTGTCTTCTAGCCATTCTATATGATAGAATCCTGGCATATTTTATACACAAATACTTGTATCTTACTAATAGATTACTTAAGCCATAGTGATAACCCACACAGAGTTTCTCTCATATCAACCACACATCTTCCTATCTCCTTACTAATGGCATCCCATTGTTTTTGATATCTAAGATAGAAAGTCAGTTATGGAACTTTTAGCTTTTCCCTGGAAAACTAAAAGTTTAAAGACATAACACAGTCAGGCTGTGTTACCATCTCGTCTGCCAGACTGCTGCTCTTTTAAAATTCCAATCATGGTACAACACACTTTGGGGTAAAGGGAAGAGGAAAACAATACAAAAACTCCAATTCAAACCTGGGGTTCTAGGATTATAAATAGATGGACTTGTGCTGCCTTTCAGAGTATTCCTTCACTGAGTTCTACCAAGTAGCTAGAGATTTTTCAAGATATCCTGTATCCAGAAAAGAAAAAAAGAAAAAAAAAACAAAAATTTGAGACATCTAGCTAACATTTGACTTATCCATATTTTCCTGTTGGTGTTCATATATTTCTACTTTTTTCAATCAGTTTTGTATGAGGTACTAGAAACCAATGTTTTCCACTTTCCTTTTAAATTCTCTCAGGTTTACCTAAAATATTCATTTATGTGTTTAAAATTTTAATACATTTTCATTATTTAAAAAGTAAAATATAAACTCTTCACTATGAAATTCAGAAACATTATATCTTTTATTCTTACAAGATTGTTAACATCATGAACCTATCACTTCATTTTTGTACTGTACACTGTGAAGTTCTGTTCTAAAAATAAATAAAGTAATGAAAAGGACAAAACGAAAGACTAGCTGAATTAAATTAGCACTTAATTGAACTTACAAAGCTATGTCTCTACACAATAAAGTTTCAATGTATTTGGAACACTCATTTATAATTCTCTCCCCACTTATAATTACCCCCATGTTTAGATTGCATATACTGCTTCTACATTGGTCCTTTCTTGTCAACAAATAAATACATTCAGGTCTCTCATATTGTAAACATAGTTCCTCCTCTCTATTTTCATGCATTGCTTTCTCATTATCCTGATCTTCCCACTTAAGACTAATGAAAAAGGAGACTAAACCCACTGTTTCTATTTCCTCATCTTGTATTCACGCCTCCCACCATAGCTGTTTCAACCTTACTACTCCATGAATACTCTTAATGAAGTATATACTATTTTCATGGTTTTTCAATCCTGTAGGCAACATCTAATTCTTATTGTTATTGATCCTGCTTCAGCATATGTTATTTCTGATTCTCTTCTGCTTACAAGTTTCTTTCTATTCACTATGAAAAAAAAATATGTTTTAGTTTTCCTCCCACCTCCATAGTAAGTGGCTTCTTTTTATTTTTTGATTTTTATTTTAGATTCAGGGGGTATGTGTACAGCTGTGTTACAAAGGTATATTGTGTGATGATAAAGGTTGAAGTATGATTGGGTCCTACACCCAGGTAGTGAGCATAGAACCCAATAAGTAGTTTTTCAACACTTGCCCCGCTCCTTTCCTTCCCCTTCCTGTAGTTATCTTATTTTTCCCATCTTTATTTTCATGTGTACCCAATGTTTAACTTCCATGTATGAATGGAAAAATGTGGTATTTGGTTTTCTGTTTCTCCATTAGCTCACTTAGGCTAATGGACTACAACTTCATCCATGTTGCTGCAAAGGACATAATTTCATTTGGGTGTGTGTGACTGAATAGTATGCCATGGAGTAAATGTACCACATGTTCCTTATCCAATCCACTGTTGATGGGCACCCAGATTGATGCCAAGTTTTTGCTATTGTGAATAGTACTGCAGTGAACATATGGGTGCAAGCCTTCTTGGTAGAATATTTATTTTCCTTTGGGTATATACCCAGCAATGGAAATCTTGAGTAAAATAGTAGTTCTGTTTTTAGTTCTTTGAGAAATCTCCAAACTGCTTTCCACAGTGGCTGCACTCATTTACGTTCCCACCAACAGTATATAACTGTTCTCTTTTCTCTGCAGCCCCACCACGTCTCTTATTTTTGACTTTTTAATGGTAGTCATTCTGACTGGTGTGAGATGGTATCTCATTGTGGTTTTGATTTGCATTTCTCTGATGATTAAAGATGAAGAGCACTGTTTCACATGGTTGTTGACCATATGTATGTCTTCTTTTGAGAAGTGTAAGTTCCTGTCCTTTGCCAATTGTAATGGGGTTAGTTGTTTTCTACTTGTTTATTTCAGTTCTTTATATATTCTGGATATTAGATCTTTGTTGGATGCATAGATTTTGAATATCTTTTCTCATTGTGTAGGTTGTTTTTTTTTTTATTCTGTTGATAGTTTCTTTTGCTGTGCAGAAAATCTTTAGCTTAACTGGGTCCTACTTGTCAATTTTTGTTTTTGTTGCAAGAAAAAAAAAAACTATCTAGCCATAGATTCTTGTCAAGGCTGATGTCCAGAAGAGTATTTCCTAGGTTTTTGTCTAGGATTTTTATTGTTTGAGGTCTCGCTCTTAGGCTTTGTATCCTTCTTAAGTTAATTTTTGTATATTAACTTTAGATGGATGATAGGTAAAGGTCCAATTTCAATCTTCCGCATATGGCTAGCCAGTTACCCCAGTACCGGTTATTGAACAGGGAGTTTTTTTCCCCATTGCTTATTGCCATTCTTTAATCGTTCATCATTTTAAAAAATGTTAGAATTCCGCAGGAGTGTATTCTGAACCTATGCAGGTGTTAGTTTGTTCCCCACTCTAAACCTCTTCATATCCTTCTCTACCCTACTTTCTGCTTCCTGGGGTTGACCCCCACTCTGCATCACCCAGCCTTCCTGTCAGTGTTCCCTCCCTCTACTCACTACAATGCTATTCTGGTACATCTATTTCATGCCCCTAATACTATCGGACCACCTCTAACCCTGAAATTTTTAGAACTAGGTGTTGTAAGAACTTTCCACTCTTGTTATTTCCATGATGCCTCAACGTTCTCTATTGACTTCATAATGCTGATTGTACTTGTAAAATAAAACTTTCTTGAAAATCGCTGTTTATAGACTTACGGCAATATTGGTTTGTCAAAACTAACACTCTGAGTGATAAATAAATACAGGTTATTTTCCCTCTGTACACTTCCTAGGTTTGAGCTTAATACTTACATTTCCACATCCTTGATTTTCAGCAATATCTTTACTAAATTCTCAACCAAAAATTCCAACTGTTCCATTTATATATTCATCTGTAGGTCCCACAAACACCCCAGAGGCACTATTCCAAAAATATTCCCTTCAAACCTGCCCCTCATCCTCCCTTTGATATCTCTCTGAATAACACCAATTTCCTTATGAGCTGGAAATCTTTAGTGATTTAACATCACTGACAACTTTCATAATTGTTCTGAAAAGAAGCATAGTAATATAATCTGGCACTTATAAAGATCAAAATCAGCCCAAATATAATCCCAAACATTTGAACAAACATGAATTACTCACATATTAATAATGACTATATAAATTTTGTCAATTTTATTTTTATAATTAGTTAATAGGATTTAATTTTAGTTTCTAATAGTTTTAATAAATTCATTTACTTAAAAACAACAAAACTAAACAGATATTTATTTATGATATTTAATTGGTTTAATTAAACAGGCCTATGAGGAGTCAGGCTGCTTAAATGATGAGACTTTTACTAAATACCTATTACTTACATTACATGTTAATTACAGAATTTTTAAAATGAGAAAATAACTGGAATTATGAGCATTGGTAGTATAAGTCAAACTTAATAACAGATCCATATTTATTATCAGACCTTATTCTAAATATTCCAGTTAGAATTTGAAGCAAGAAATATTTATGTTGCCTACTAATCAAGTCAAATACACATCCTGGCTTGTAACTAAAAATAATATTTTATTTTTTTAAATAAAAAAACAGCCCTGAAAAGAAAGAGGCACTTATTTATCCTGAATTCACTAATGCTATATAAAATTTGCATTTTTATTTCACATAAGGAAACACTAAACTAGAGTTTTAGTGACTATTTTATAACTTAGTTGCTGTAATGCAAATGCTTTTGCAATATAGCAATGTAATAATTTTATTTCCCATCTGCAGTTCCCACTTAAAAACAAAGAGAATTGAACTGAATGTAGGAGCATGGTAATAACAATACATTTTGACATAGAGAAATTTAGTTTATAAAGTTCTCTTCTAAATATTATTTTAATTTTTTCCTGAGAAAGGTAAAAAAATGAAACCAATTGGCACAACAAGAGCCAGACAATACTAAAGCCCTCAGTTTGTTTCAAATTTGTCCTATTCAATTTTTTTATTTTTAATTTTTATGGTTACATCGTAGGGTATATAGTGGGTGAATAAATTTATGGGGTACATGAGATATGTTTTTTCGTTATTTGTCTCTATTCAATTGTTTTTATTTTTAATTTTTGTGGGTACATAGTGGGTATATATGTTTATGGGGTACATGAAATATGTTGGTACAGGCACACATCATGGAACATTGGGTGTCTATCGCCTTGAGCATTTATCCTTTGTGTTACAAATAATTCAAGTAATTTACATATTTTAAAATGTATAACTATTATTGCTGAATTGACCCCTTTATTATTAAATAATGACCTTCCTTTTTTTCTGCTTACAGTTTTTGTCATGAAATCTATTTCGTCCCATGTAAGTATAGCTATTCCTGCTATTTTTTTTTTTTTTTTTGGTTTCCATTGGCATGAATGTCTTTTTCCGTCTGTTTATTTTCAGTCTGTGTGTATCTTTATAGATGAAGTGTGTCTTATAGGCAATAGATCATGGAGTCTTGTTTTCTCATTCATTAGGGCACTGTATGTCTTTTAACTGGAGAATTTGGTTAATGTAAAGTCAAGGTTATTATTGATAAGTAGAGACTTACTCCTGTCATTTTGTTATTCTCTGGTTGTGTTATGATCTTCTCTTCCTTCTTTCCTTCCATCCTGTTTTCCTTTTAGCGAAGGTGATTATCTCCAGTGTTATGCTTTAGTTTTTTGTTTTTGATTTCTTCTGTATCCATTTTATTTTTTTATTTGAAATTATCATAAGGCTTGCAAATGCTATAACTCATTATTTTTAATTGAAAACACCTTAGCATTGATTGTTTAAACAAACACAAACATGGAGAAAAAAAACTAATAATAACTTTAACTTCATCTCCACTTTTTAACTGTTTTCTCTCTTTATGTCTTATGGTATTGTCTATTTCTTGAAAATTTGTTGTAGTTATTTTTTATTGTTTTATTATATAGTGTTTTTACTTAAGTCAAGAGAAGTTTATATAACATAGTTACACTGTTATACTATTCTTCTGTTTTTCTGTGTGTTTACTCTTACCAGTGAGTTTTGTAACTTCAGATATTTCTTATTGCTCATTAACATCCTATTCTTTCATATTGAAGAACTCCCTTCAGCATTTCTTGCAGGACAGTTCTGGTGTTGATGAAGTCCCTCAACTTTTTTTTTGCCTGTGAAGTTCTTTATTTCTCCTTCATGTTTAAAGGCTATTTTCTCTGGATATACTATTCTAGGGTAAAAGACTATTTTCTTTAGCACTTTAAATATGTCATGCCACTCCCCTGGCCTGTAATGTTTCCACTGAAAACTCTGCTGCCTCTGATGTAGTGGAGCTCCCTCGTATGTTATTTGTTTCCTTTCTCTTGCTGTTCTGAGGATTCTTTCTTTATTCTTAACCTTTAGGTATTTCATTATTAAATGTCTTGAGGTAGTCTTCTTTGGGTTAAATCTGCTTGGTGTTTTATAACCTTGTTGTACTTGGATGTTGATATCCTTTACTAGGTTGGGGAAGTTCTGTTATTATCCTTTTGAATAATATTACTACACCTGTATTTTTCTTTACCTCCTCTTAAAGGTCAAAACTCTTAGATCTGGCATTTTAAGGCTAATTTCTTGGTCTTGTAGGTTTGCTTCTTTGGTTTTTTTTTTTTTCCTTTCTGTTGTCTCCTCTGATTTTGTATTTTTAAATTGCTTAACTTCAAGTTCAGTAATTCTTTCTTCTGCTTAATCAATTCTGTTATTAAGAGACTCTGATGTGTTCCTCAGCATTTTGGTTGCATTTTTCAACGCTAGAATTTCTGCTTCATTCTTTTTAATTATTTTGATTTCTTTGTTAAATGTATCTCATAGAATTCTACATTTCTTCTATGTGTTATCTTGAAGTTCTTTGAGTTTCCTCAAAAGACCTATTTTGAATTCTCAATCTGAAAGATAACATGTGTGTATTTCTCCAAGAGTGGTCCCTGGTGTCTTACTGATTTTATTTAATGGTGTCATATTTTCCTGTATTGCTGTTGATCCTCGTAGATGTTTCTCAGTGTCTGGGCAATGAAGAGTTATGTAATTATTGTAGTTTTCAGATTGAGCTTGTTTATGCCTGTCCTTCTTGGAAAGGCTTTCCAGTTATTCAAAGGGACTTGAGTCCCAGGCTTAACAATGCTGTGGTTTTGAGAGACTCCTACAGGTACCACCTTGGTGATCTTGAATAAGAATTCTCTGGACTCTTGTTCATTTCTCTTACTTTCTTTTAAACAAATGGAATCTGTCTTTCTGTACTGAACCACCTGGAACCGGGAGGGCGGGGGCAGTGGTGGTGGTGATGCAAAGCACCCCTGTGGCCACCACCACTGGGACGGTCCTGGGTTAGGCTTGAAGCCAGGGTAGCACTGGACCTTCTTCAAGGCCCTTCCCTTCAGGATAGTGAGTTCCCCCAGGCCCCAGGCATTTCCAGAGATACGGTTTGGGAGTGAGGAAATTGGAGTCAAAAACCTGAGCAATTTATTTGATATTATCTTCTGCTGTGGCTAAGCTGGCACTCAAATCACAATACAGAGTTTTTCCTGCTCTCCCTTCCCCACTTTCCATAGGCAGAGGAGCCTCTCCCTGTGGCCACCACTACCCCTAGTCTATGAGGGCTTCTGCCAGGCCACCATCAATGTTCACTTAAAGACAAGGGCTCTTCAGTGAGCTTATGGTGAATGCTGCTTGACCTGGCACTTGCCCTTCAGGGTAGTGGGCTCTCCTCTGGCCCAGAGTAGATCCAGAAATGCTGCTCAAGAGCCTCAACCTGGATTTGGGGATGCCAAGAGCCTACATGGCTGAGCTGGTACCTAGGGAGCAAGATAAAGTCTCCTTTACTTTTCCCTC
Organism: Homo sapiens; assembly: GCF_000001405.40. Lineage (NCBI taxonomy): Eukaryota > Metazoa > Chordata > Mammalia > Primates > Hominidae > Homo > Homo sapiens. Next base: position 193,886,078 of record NC_000002.12, on the reverse strand, counting down.
TGCTTTTATTAAACAGAAGTATTTAACTGTAGCCACCACAGTTTGGAATGTGCTAGGTCATCCCTGAAGCTGGAACATTTCAGTGCCCAAGACCCATAGCATACTCACTGGGTATCATGGTTGGTTATTCAGGGACCAATAGCTATTTAGTCAACAGGTGATGAATACTGCCAGGACTAAGTCCTATCCTTCAAAGTAGCAGATTCCCTTTTGGCTCAGAGTGTGTCTAGAAATGTTCCCAGGGAGCTACATCCTGAAATGGGGGCCTCATGACTCTGCCAGGTGCCCTGTCCTACTGTGGCTGAGCTGGTATCCAAGATATAAAATAATGTTATTTTTATTCTTTGCTCTCCTTTCTTTAAGTAGAAGGAAGGAGTCACTTTGTTGCTGTGAGCTGCACAGCCTGGGGTTGGGGGAAGAATGGCACAAACACTCCCTTAGTTGTGCCAGCTGGTGTCTCCCTAGGTCACATATCACCCTCATTCACTGGCTCTAAGCCCAGCCTACACTACAAGTTGTCTAGAAATTACAGTCCTTGTGTCCTAGACTGTCTTTCAATTTACCTAGAACCCCAGAGCACCTCAGTCCACAGTGGTGAGGCTTGCCGAGAAGCTCAAGTTCCAACCATTGGCATGGTTGATTTCCCTCTGGCTAGGGCTGGTCCAAATGTTCCCTCTGTGTGCAAGCACTGGCTGAGGCCAGCACAGTTGTATTCACTGGCTGAGGGCAGTACTGAGTTCAGTGTAAAATCCACCAGTCACTTTATTCTCCCTCTTCAAAGTGCACAGATTCCCACTTTATGCCACTAGGCAACTCCTAGAGAATAGGGTAGGGGTGTCATTGGAGACCAAGACTTTCTTTCCTGCCCTTCTCAATGCCTCTTTTCATGATATGAGGTTAAAACCGGGTACTGTGATTGCCCACCTGATTTTTGGTTCCTGTGGCAGTGCTTTTCCGTGTGCAGATACTTGTTAAAATTTGGTGTCCAGTGTGAGGGATGAATAGTATAGGCTTCTATTTCATCATCTTGCTCTGCCCTCTGTCCCTATTTTGAATCGGAATCTCCTGTACATTTCTGGTTCTAACCTCCCATTATACATTTTACAACTGTAGAAGTCTTCCCTTTGTTGAGATTCAAAAGTTTTAAATAAATTCTTGTTACGGCAATATGTTTTTCTTAAATTAGATAAAAATAATCTGTACACTTATATGAGTAACAATTTTTCTACTTCATGTTTTGGTTTTCGGTCATATAAGCAACCAAAAAACAGCTAAGAACAAATAAGCAGGTACGAAAATATATATTCACATTTTCCTCCTAAAAGTATACTGTTCCATATTCTCAATTATAAAAATGTTTTATTAAGTGGGTATGTTACCTACATTTTTTGTTTCAACTAAAGGACTACTCGCTTGTAATGAAGAGAAATAACATTACTCTGATAAGTAATATTTTTCTTGAAAAAGAAATCAATAATTCTGGTTTCTTCTCTACCTTCCCTGACCAGATACTCAAGTCAATATAAATTATTTGTAAGTAGTTTTTCAATTATACAAAGATACTTATATAGTATTTATATTATAAAACATATATGCAAATATGTTTAAAAAGATGTCATTTAAGTTGCTCTTTCTTCATTACTCATATTTTGTTTCCCTCTACTATTATTTCTTTTCCACATTAAAAGCTTTCTTTTACTTTTTTAAAAGCAAATTTTATGATTAAAAAATATTCTTAGTTGTACTTCATAAAATAACTAACTTTTAAAATTTTATTGTTAAAGAATATTTTTTCTGAACAAAAGATTTGGGATTGGCAGGTATTTTTTTCAACTTCAAATATAATTTGATACTCTCTTCTGGTCTCTATTGCTTCAGATGAAAAATTCACCTTTATTTAAATAATTATTTATCTGTATGTATTATGTTTTTGTTTTCCTTTATATGCTATCAGATATTTCCTTTCTTTTTTTGGTTTTTAGTAATTTGATTACAACAGGTCTGGATCTAGTTTTCTTTGATTTATTTGTTTGGAGTACACTGAACTTTTTGGATCTGTGAATTTATGTCTTTCATCAAATTTGGAGAGTATCAACTGTTATTTCTTTATGTTTTTCAGCAGCCATTTTTTCCCTCCCCTTCTGGTACTCTAAAAACATAAATATTGACCTTTGATATTGTCTATAGGTCACTTCTTTTATATTCTTAATTTTTACTTTCTCTGTTTTTCATTTTAGTTTCTATTGATCTATCTTCAGATTTACCAACTTTTTCCTCTAGCATCACCATTTTTCTACTGACAACTCTCTCTGTCCTAGTTAATTTTTGTTCCCATTATTGTTTTCCAGTTCTAGAATTTTAATTTGATTCTTCTATATAACTTTTATTTCTTTGCTAAGAACATCTACTGTTTCTTCCCCCAGACTCATCCCCAAAGTCTTTACTTGTTAGACGACAGTAATAATTGCTTTAGAATTTATGTCTGATAATTGAACAGGCTATCTTGTTGGTGGTGTTTGTTGATTTGCTTTTTCCTTACAAGTTGTTGAGGTTTCCCTTGTTCTTTGTCAGTCATATAGCTTGAATTGTATCATGGCAACTTTGAACACTATATTATGAGACTATGGAACCTATAAAAATCTTCCTGAGAATATTGATATGTTTTTATTTGTTTTAGAAGGCAGTCCACCTGAAGTTCTGACCTGAATTCTGGAGGACATTGTTCCCACACAAATGTTGTTTTTCAAATCCTTTGCATTGCTATCCTGGTTGGGCACAGATGTTGACATGGTTGGCTGTGACCCCACTCAAATGTCATCTGGAATTGTAATCCTCATAATCCCCACACGTTGAGGGAGGGACCCAGTAGGAGGTGATTGGATCATGGGGCTGTTTTACCTCCATGCTGTTTTTGTGATAGTGAGTTCTCACAAGATCTGGTGGTTTTATAAGGCAGTTTTCCCTGCTCTTGTATGCTCTCTCTCATCTGCTGCCATGTAAGATGTGTTTCTTCCCCTTCTACCATAATTGTAAGTTTCCTGAGGCCTCCCCAGCCATGTTGAACTGTGAGTCAATGAACCTCTTTTATTTATAAATTACCCAGTCTTGGGTAGTATCCTTATAGCAGTGTGAGAATGGACAAATACACATATGTACTTTTCAAAAGCCATACTGGGACCAAGGCAGTGGTAAACATAGTAATTCAGTTCTTTTTTTTTTTGAGGCAGAGTCTTGCTCTGTTGCCCAGGCTGCAGTGCAGTGGTGCAATCTCGGTTCACTGCAAGCTCCACCTCCCAGGTTCACGCCATTCTCCTACCTCAGCCTCCCGAGTAGCTGGGACTACAGGCACCCGCCACCACGCCTGGCTTTTTTTTTTTTTTTTTTTTTTTTTGTATTTTTGTAGTAGAGACGGGTTTTCACCATGTTAACTGGGATGGTCTCGATCTCCTGACCTCGTGATCTGCCCACCTCACCCTCCCAAAGTGCTGGGATTACAGGCATGAGCCACCGCACCTGGCCCATAGTAGTTCAGTTCTAAAAACTTGGTGCTTGATTCCATCCATCATCAGGCACATGTAGCTTGAAGATGAGTTGCAAAACAATTTTAAGGCTCCCTTTTTCCATTTCTATCCCTTCTGCTATCTATCCCATTCTCAAATTTTTATGGGTCCCCTTTCCTGGTGTTCTGACCTAAAAGTCAGGTCCCTAATTTTCCTATATACTTCCTGCAACAGGTAATGATTCCTGGTGAAACAACAAAAGAAAAGAGCATGCATGAGCACCACTGCTTCTACCTGATGAATAGCAAAAAGGATTTAAAAAAAGGCCTCTTCCACTCCATTGGGACTACCTTTGAAAACAGTGTGAAGTTGGGGGCTGACATTTCTTTGTTAGCACACAGGAGTACAATATCTCCAGAAAGTCTTGGCCACACAAGTAGGAAGGAAATTTGCCATTCTATGCAAGTCCTTAAAAGTTAAAAGTACTTGGTTATGACTTGTTTATACGTGGGACATTTGCCTTTTTGTGCCTGGATCTTGCAACTCAAATAGGCTATATTTCACAATAGCCCTGTTAATTTTACAAAGATAGTTTCCTTATACTTACTTGAAGTGATAAATTGCTTCATCATGAACACATAACCTTTTGTTGTGACTTCTTGGCATAAACAGTTTCAATATATCTAATATATACTGTCGCAAAGAGTAGTTTTTCTACAATGTTGTAAATTCACACTCTTAAAAAATATTTTAAGTCATTTTAATTTTGTGTTGTTTCCCAACATTATTGTGACTATCAATTATTTTACCAAATATTTATTTCATAAATCCTTAATAAGAATTTCTATTAATAAGTTTATTATGTATGAGTGTATCAAGAGTTATAATTACATTTCATCACTAAAGAAAATAATTTAACTTGATAGAAGTTGGTATAGCTTCCTCCATAATTACATAATAACTTGCATTGAGTTTCAAGTATAGAAACGTTATTTCAATTTCTAATAATTCCTTGTACTTAAAATCATGGTGATTTATAAGTTGCCATTACAAAAGGCAAACATTTAAATGAAGGAAATTGATCTCAGAGAAAGCCAAGTACATAGAGTCAAAAATTGACTGACTCAATTGTCAGTCAATTCGAGAAATAAAGTCTCCCATCAATAAGATGCTGGGTAATACTCAGGTAAATTGTATAATTAAGATTAATATACACTCTTATTATTTTTGGAATCATGATATTTAAAACTTAATTTTTAGTATTTTTGATTCATGGTCTGAGTACAGAGGCCTTTCTAATGAAGTCATTTCATGCATCAAGGATGTTCATGGGGGTGAGAGTAGTTCTAATTATCTATTGCTGCCTTTTGAAGTACCTAAATACTAAATTGCTTAAAACAACAATTTTAATTTGCTCACAATTTTGAGTTTCATTTTTGGAGATGTACTTGTCTGGGTGCTTCATCTCTAATCCATATGGAATGGTTGGGGATGGAATGATTAAGATCCACTCCCAAGATATCACCTTTTCTCACATATCTGTCAGCTTGGTGCTTGTTCTCTCTTTCTCTTCACAGGACCCTCCATTTTTTAGGGAGTCTCAATATAGCTTGGGTTTCTCTTGCATTAATTGATCAAGGCCCTACACCTAGAAGTGGCATGGGTAGAAATTTTATGTCAGACCCTCTATCTTCACTCTCAAAGTCACCCATAACTGTTCTACATGTTGCTTTTCTTCACAAAGCTTTACATTAAAATCAAATGAATAAGCCCAAATATTTGCTAAAATATTCTATAAATACTCTTTTACCTAACATGGCCAAATAATAGTATCCTTTGGTTAATATAAAATTATCATATAAGCAAGATGCATAGCACTGTTAAGTAATATTACAGCAAAGTTATATTATTTGTAATGTAATAAACTAACACTGTAAAATCAAATTCTTGTTTAAATTCCTTGTTACAAGTCATTTTAAGTTTGTGTGATTTCACAACATTATTGCCACTATCAATTATTTTACCAAAAATCCATTTCAGATATTTTAAGAGGAATTTCTAATTAATAGTGTCAGTTATTTGGGTTTATTATGTATGAGCCATTAAGGCTTGTAATTATATTTCATTATTAAAGCAAATAAGTTGATCAAGGTTAGTATAGCTTCCTCCATAATTATATTAAAATTTGCATTAAGTTTCAAGGACAAAAATGTTTTATTTTCATTTCAAATAACCACGTGAACTATCTAAGCATATAATGCTTTGCTATGCCTGTTGGACTTGGTAGTTCTGCCGATGATGACTATTTCAAAGCATTTAAGAAAATAATGGGTTGATTTTCATTCATCTTACTTCTATGACAAGAAATATAATAAATGAAACTAATTTCAATTTTATAATGTAGTGCTTACTCATAAAGATACTAAAAAGTAATTAGAATGTAGATATTTTTTCTTCAAACACCCTCCAGTCTGTATATTTATTTAAATATTTTGCAAGCTGAAAATAATAAGGCATTTAGAGCTATGAATATTTCTACTGCTTTGGGGACTACTCTAAAATTCAGTGAAATTTTCTTACTAGTAAAATCCAAACTGACCATAGTTCAAACCTAGAGTTTATTTATTCTCTGCAAAGACATAATGACATCTTCAATACCAAACATTTTTGTTACCACCAAAAAAATTAGTGAGGGCTGGTAATACATAACTCTAGTTGTGTATACGATCTGAGATGAGCTATCAATCACAGTAGAGAGCCCTGGGGAACAGGTTAAGTCACCATGACAAAGCAGAAGAATCACCAACTACAGAATAAAAGTTTGAGTGAAGACCACAGATTATTCCTTATTAAATAGTTCATTCCAAATTCACCATGATAGTGCTGCCATAATAAAGCAAAAGTCAACACATGTTTACCACATAGTTTTTCAAGAAACAAAGATGTGTACACATTTTTTTAAAATCATAATTCAATTAAACATAACTGGAATGATACAATTTCATAGTTTAAAGAGTTAGGCTTTGGATATAGAGCATATTCAATTATCCAAAATATTGCTTTCCACTTGATTTCAGAACAAATGAGACATCAATGTGTTAATAATTAGACAATCAATTCTTGTATATTTTTATTTTTACAAATGGGGTCTTTCTCTGTTACCCACTCTGGAGTGCAGTGGTGCAATCATATCTCACTATGGGCTCAAACTTGGGCTCAGGCTATACTATCACCTAAGCCTCTTGAGTAGCTGAGACTACAAGTGTGTGTTATCATGCTCAGCTACTTTTTTTTGTAAAATTTTTTTGTAGAGATGAGATTTCACTATGTTGCCCAGGCTGGTCTCAAACTCCTGGGCTCAAAATATCCTCCTGATCCTCATTACAGGTGTGAGCCACCATGCCCAGCTCAGGATACAAAATCAATGTGCAAAAATCACAAGCATTCTTATACACCATTAACAAACAAACAGAGAGCCAAATCATGAGTGAACTCCCATTCACAATTGCTTCAAAGAGAATAAAATACCCAGGAATACAACTTACAAGGGACGTGAAGGACCTCTTCAAGGAAAACTACAAACCACTGCTCAAGGAAATAAAAGAGGATACAAACAAATGGAAGAACATTCCATACTCATGGGTAGGAAGAATCAATATCGTGAAAATGGCCATACCGCCCAAGGTAATTTATAGATTCAATGCCATCCCCATCAAGCTACCAATGACTTTCTTCACAGAATTGGAGAAAACTACTTTAAAGTTCATATGGAACCAAAAAAGAGCCCGCATTGCCAAGACAATCCTAAGCCAAAAGAATAAAGCTGGAGGCATCACGCTACCTGACTTCAAACTATACTACAAGGCTACAGTAACCAAAACAGCATGGTACTGGTACCAAAACAGAGATATAGATTAATGGAACAGAACAGAGACCTCAGAAATAATGCCACATATCTACAACCATCTGATCTTTGACAAACCTGAGAAAAACAAGCAATGGGGAAAGGATTCCCTATTTAATAAATGGTGCTGGGAAAACTGGCTAGCCATACGTAGAAAGCCGAAACTGGATCCCTTCCTTACACCTTATACAAAAATTAATTCAAGATGGATTAAAGACTTAAATGTTAGACCTAAAACCATAAAAACCCTAGAAGAAAACCTAGGCATTACCATTCAGGACATAGGCATGGGCAAGGACTTCATGTCTAAAACACCAAAAGCAATGGCCATAAAAGCCAAAATTGACAAATGGGATCTAATTAAACTAAAGAGCTTCTGCACAGCAAAAGAAACTACCATCAGAGTGAACAGGCAACCTACAGAATGGGAGAAAATTTTTGCAATCTACTCATCTGACAAAGGGCTAATATCCAGAATCTACAATGAACTCAAACAAATTTACAAGAAAAAAACAACCCCATCAAAAAGTGGGCAAAGGACATGAACAGACACTTCTCAAAAGAAGACATTTATGCAGCCAACAGACACATGAAAAAATGCTCATCATCATTGGCCATCAGACAAATGCAAATCAAATCCACAATGAGATACCATCTCACACCAGTTAGAATGGTGATCATTAAAAAGTCAGGAAACAACAGGTGCTGGAGAGGATGTGGAGGAATAGGAACACTTTTACACTGTTGATGGGACTGTAAACTAGTTCAACCATTGTGGAAATCAGTGTGGCGAATCCTCAGGGATCTAGAACTAGAAATACCATTTGACACAGACATCCCATTACTGGGTATATACCCAAAGGATTATAAATCATGCTGCTGTAAAGACACATGCACACGTATGTTTATTGCAGCACTATTCACAATAGCAAAGACTGGAACCAACCCAAATGTCCAACAATGATAGACTGGATTAAGAAAATGTGGCACATATACACCATGGAATACTATGCAGCCATAAAAAATGATGAGTTCATGTCCTTTGTAGGGACATGGATGAAGCTGGAAACCATCATTCTCAGCAAACTATCCCAAGGAAAAAAACCAAACACCGCATGTTCTCACTCATAGGTGGGAATTGAACAGTGAGAACACACGGACACAGGAAGGGGAACATCACACACCGGGGCCTGTTGCGGGGTGGGGGGAGCGGGGAGGGATAGCATTAGGAGATATACCTAATGCTAAAAGACGAGTTACTGGGTGCAGCATACCAGCATGGCACATGTATACATATGTAACTAACCTTCACGTTGTACTTAAAGTATAATAATAATTAAAAAAAAAAGAACTTAAAAAAAAGAAAAAAGGAAAAAATAAGAAAGAAAAAAATAAGCACTAAAAGTATAAACACTAAAGGACAAAAATCATTTGGATCTCCACACATTTTCTAAGGTAGATAAAACGGACCAATTTCTTTTTATTTATTTATTTATTTATTTATTTATTTATTTATCAAAACGGACCAATTTCTGAGACACAATCTGTGGAAACCCACAAAAGGAGAAACAGGTTGGTGCAAAAGTAATTGCGGTTTTTGCATTGTTGAAATTTGTCTTTTGATATTGGAATACATTCTTAAATAAATGTGGTTATGTTATACATAATTTTAACGTGCATTTCTCATTTTTTTCTTAACGACTTATTACTTTCTGTTTATTTTATATTTATTTTAGATTATAGAAATGATGTTAGACAAAAAACAAATTTGAGCAATTTTCTTATTTGAGTTCAAAATGGGTGGTAAGGCAGCGGAGACAACTCACAGTATTAACGACACATTTGGCCCAGGAATTGCTAACGAATGTACAGTTCAGTGGTGGTTCAAGAAGTTTTGCAAAGGAGACGAGAACCTTGAAGATTAGGAGTTTAGTGGCTGGCCATTGGAAGTTAGCAATGACCAATTGAGAGCAATCATTGAAGCTGATCCTTTTACTACTAACTACAGGAGAAGTTGCCAAAGTACCCAACGTCGACCACTCTATGGTCATTCAGCATTTGAAGCAAGTTGGAAAGGTGAAAAAGCGCATTAGGTGGGTGTCTCATGAGCTGAGTGAAAATAAAAATAATTGTCGTTTTGAAGTGTTTTCTCATATTCTACACAACAATGAACGATTTCTCCATCAGATCGTGATGTGAAATGAAAAGTAGATTTTATACAACAACTGGCGATGACCAGCCCTGTGGCTGGATCTAGAAGAAGCTCCACAACACTTCCCAAAGCCAAACTTGCACCAAAGTTCATGGACACTGCTTGTTGGTCGGCTGCCAGTTTGATCCTTTGCCTCATCCACCATATTCACCTGACATCTTGCCAACTGACTACCACTTCTTCGAGCATCTGGACAACTCGACAACTCTGGGCTCACTGCAACTTCCACCTCCCAGGTTCAAACGATTCTCCTGCCTCAGCCAACCGAGTAGCTGCGATTACAGGTGTGCACTACCACGGCCCGGCTAAGTTTTGTATTATTAGTAGAGACGCGGTTTCACCATGTTGGCTAGGCTAGTCTCAAACTCCTGACATCAGGTGATCCACCCGCCTCAGACTCCCAAAGTGCTGGGATTACAGGCATAAGCCACCATGCCCGGCCCTCAACAACTTTTTGTAGGGAAAATATTTCCAGAACCAGCAGGATGTAGAAAATGCTTTCCAAGAATTCACTGAATTCCAAAGAATGGAGTTTTAAGCTACAGAAATAAACAAACTTATTTCTCCTTGGAAAAAAATATGTTGATTTTAATGGTTCCTCTTTTAACTAATAAAGATGCATTTGAGTCTAGTTATGATTTAAAATTCACAGTACAAAACCCCAATTAGTTTTGCACCAACCTAGATAATATAAATATACATAATATAAATAAGCCTTTTCCATTAAAAATAAAATGAACCATTAAAAAAAATGGCCTTCTAAAACAGAAAGTACAAGACTCAGATGAGTTCACTGGTGAATTCCAGCAAACATTTGTGGACGAAATTACAATTGTCTGTAGTCTTTTCCAGAAAAAATAAGTAGAATAATACATTCTGACTTTTACTGTAAGATAACCATTACTCGAATACCAAAACCAGATAAAGACATTACAAGACAAGCAAACAAAAAACCAATACATCTAATGAACATAGATGTAAAAATCCTCAACAAAATATTAGCAAACCAAATACAATAAAATATAAAAGGATTATACACTGTGGTAAAATAAGATTTATTTTAGGTGTATAAAGCTTGTTTAATATTACAAAATCATTTAATATAATACATCCTATCAACTGGTCAAATTCTACAAGAATATTATATCAATAAATGTAAGAAAAAACATTTGAAAAAAAACCCAACAAATTCACAAGAAAAACTGTCAGCAAACTAAAAATAGAGGAGAACTTAGTCAACTTGATAATGAAAATCTATAAAAATCCACAGCTAATGTAATACTTAATAATTAGAAACTAGATACTTCCCTGCTAAGACAAATAACAAGACAAGAATGCCTGTTCTCCTCACCCTTACTCAACATTATACTGGAAATTCTAGTTAATGCAATGAGAAAATAAAATAAAAGCTACAAATAGGAAAGAAAGATATTGTCTTTATTTGCAGATGACATGCTTGAATATATAAAAAAAAATTTTTAAAGATTAAAGAAAAGTAAAGCCCCTGCCAAAACTAGTAAGTAATTAAATCTTGTATCATAGGTTGTAGGATACAAGATATGTATACAAAAGTCAGTTGTGTTTTTATGTATCTTCAGTGAACACTTAGCATTTGAAATTAGAAACATAATCCCATTTACATTAGATAATACGTAACTCTAGTTGCGTACAGAAAATGAGATGAGTTATTACAATGGAGAAAACTGTAGAACTTAAAGCTGTTTAACCCTTAACAACTATTTTCACCCCCAAAAGTGAAATACGTGGGTATAAATCTAACAAATTTGTACAAGATTGTTATGAGGAAAACTGAAAGTCTGACACAAGAAATTAGAGATCTAAATAAATAGAGAAATATTTTAGTACATGGATAGGAAGACTCAATATTATCAAATGTCAGTTTTTCCCAACTCGATCTTTAGATTCACTGAAATCTTAATGAAAATAAGTTATTTTTTGTATACTGACAAAATGTTTCCAACATTTATGTGGAAAAGCAAAAGACTTAGAATGACCACAGTAATATTGCAGGGAAGAACAAAGATGGAGAACTGATACTACCTAACTTCAAGACTTTTGAATTACGGTAATGAAGACTGTGGTATTGGCAAGAAAATAGACAAATATATCAAGAAACAGATATATTCCCTGAAATACACCCACACAAATACAATTAACTGGCTTTTAAAAAAGAAGCAAATGGAATTCAATTAAGTATAGTCTTTCCAAAACAGTGTACTGAAACAATGGAAATTCAGAGGCAGAAAAATGAATAATGACATGACTTTATACCATTCACAAAAATTAAATTGCAATTATATAAATGTAAAATGAAAAATTATAAAACTCCTAGAAAATAACAGAAGAGAAAATCTAGATAACTTTGGGTTTGATGATGACATTTTAGATACAACATCAAAAGCATAATCTATTATAGAATAATTTTATAAATTGAACTTTATTAAAATTAAAAACCTGCTCTACAAAAAGCACTGTCAGGAGACTAAAAAGACAAGCCAGAGACTGTGAGAAAATATTTATAAAGCACATATTTCTCAAAAATGATATTTGAAATATACAAAGAAGTCTTAAAAGTCAACATAAAGATAGCAAACAACCCAATTTAAAAATTGGCAGTAGATGTGAGCAGACATCTGTCCAAAGAAGACATGAAATAACAAATAATCATATGAGATACTCCATATCAGACGTCAGCAGGGAATTGCAAATTAAGACAATTAGATACCTACACATGCATGAGAATGGCTGAAATCCAAAACATCAACAAAACCAAATACTGGAGAGAGGTGGAGCAACAGGAATTGTCATTCATTACTGGTGGGAATGCAAAATTATATAACCACTTTGGAAGACATTCTGGCAATTTTTTTCAAAACTAAACATACACTCACCATATGAGATTACAATTTTTATCTTTGGTATCTACCCAAAGGGGTTGAAAACATAGACCTAACCAGCACAAAAATATTTATGGCAATTTTATTCATAATTGCCAAAACTTAGAAACAAGCAAGATAGATGTATGGATAAGCAAACTGTGATATTGTCCATAGAATAGAATATTATTATTCAATAAAAACAATAAGCTATTAAGCCACAAAAAAAGGAGAAATATTAAATGCATACTTCTTAGTGAAAGAAGCCAGTCTCAAAAGACTATATATTGCATGTTTCCAACTAAATGACATTCTGGAAAAGGAAAAGTATGAAGATCCTAAAATATTCATTGGTTGTCAGGAGTTCCAGGGTAGGGATGGGCAGTTGGAACACAATGCATATTTAGATCAAACTATTCTCTATAAAACTCTAATGAGGATACTTGTCATTCTTCATTTGTCTACACAAAGAATGAACCCTAATGTAAACTATGGACATTAGTCAATAATGCATTGATACTGGCTCATCAATCATAACAAGTACACCAAATTAATACCAGATGTTATTATTAGAAAAATAGTGAGGAGAGTTAGGGGGTATGTGGAAATTATACATTCTGTTCAACTTCTCCTTAAGCCTTATTAAGTAAAATAAATGCATTTGGATGACATTTTACTGTGAAGTGAAATGTATTCACTAACAAATGTGCAATTAAGTTTAAAAACAATTAAATGTGAATTTATATTAATAAAAATCCTATGGCTGGGCACAGTGGTTCTTGCCTGTAATCCCAGCACTTTGGGAGGCTGAGGCGGGCAGATCACCACGTCAGGAGATCAAGACCATCCTGGCCAACATGATGAAACTCTGTCTCTACTAAAATACAAGAAAAATTAGCCAGGCGTGATGGTGTGCATCTGTAGTCCCAGCTACTCAGGAGGCTGAGGCAGGGGAATTGCTTGAACCCAGGAGGCAGAGGTTGCAGTGAGCCGAGATCGTGCCCCTGCACTCTAGCCTGGGGATAGAGCAAGACTCCATCTCAAAAAAAAGAAAAAAAAGAAAAAAGAAAAAACATATTTTACTTTTGTTGTTTATGTTTTTACAAATCGATTGAAGTGTTATTATAATTTACTTTCATAAATTACAAAGCACACCATAATATATCTATAAATACTTTTATATAAATCCTGGAAGAGTTACTCCATTTTGCTGTTTAGGCTTGATTCATTACCTTCTTTACAGCACTTCTTGTTTAATCAAATCATTACAATTAAAAATGCTCTTGAGAGTTTTCTTTCTCATTCTTTAATGATGACAGTATAATTGATAAACAATTTATAATGAATTTACAAAACAAAAGAGGAACTATAGTTAAAAAAAGTACAATTATATTGTTAGTACTATATAGATTATCTACAAATTACACCATGGAATAAACCTTACATTTGGCATACAATTTTTCAAAAAAAAAACCCTCTCATGTGAATGCTATAACTTTTCTTTCAAAAGCTTTATTTGGGCCAGGAACCGTGGCTCATGCCTGTAATCTCAGCACTTTAGGAGGCCAAGATGGGCGGATCATGAGGTCAGGAGATCGAGATAATCCTAACATGGTGAAACCCCGTCTCTACTAAAAATACAAAAAATTAGCCGGTGTGGTGGTGTACGCCTGTAGTCTCAGCTACTCGGGAGGCTGAGGCAGGAGAATTGCTTGAACCTCAGAGGTGGAGGTTGCAGTGAGCAAAGATCATGCCACTGCACTCCAGCCTGGGTGACAGAGACTCCGTCAAAAAAACAAAACAAAACAAAACAAAAACATTTATTTGGGGGGAGGGTGGCATTATTTCATTTTCTTCAATATCAAAGGACAGGTAGAAGTCTATTTGCACAATTCTCACCACAGTATAAGGGTGAGAAGGGAATATAGCTTGAATTTTAATATATGCTTTAATCTAACTTCTGTTTTAAATCACACAATGTGTTATATTGTTGATAATTTTTTTTTAACTTTTGTTACTAGCAGGCATGATCGTATTATTAAAAGTTCCACAAAATTTTTGTCTAGAATGTGCCATCTTCTATTAACTTGATCATGGATATTTCTAGGTTCAGAGACTAGCAAGCTTAGAGGTTCTGAGTTTCTAGGACCATACTTAAGATTTTGTGCAGGACTTTGGTCACCATCTTAAACTTGCAGATGTCCATGATTGGAGAAGGAGTGGGGCTCTTCAATTAGGTGATATGTTTCTGCAGATGAACCACAAGATCTCCTGAAATAGCATTCTAGATTCTACTAAAGACCCATAAAAAGTCAATCTGGAATATATTCTCTTAGGAATCTTTCTACATGACTGGAAAATAAACAGCCATAGAAAACAAACATCAATACAACACAGAACCAAATCCACAGATTTGTCTCAGCATACCTTGATCAGACTTTAATGTAGTCCATGTTAAAGCTTTTGAAACAGAATCTATTTTAAGGGAGGCAATGACAAATGTTGCCCATCCATATATATATACATGGCAAAGCAGCAAATAAATAAGGCTAAAGAAACATGATCACTGCTCACAAGCAAAATATATACTAATGTATATAACTCAAGAGATTAATGTTGGTGTGAGAAGCTTTATGCTCATATCAAAAATCTCAATGCTATGACAACAGAACAACAACAACAGCAATTCCTTTGCACTGTTTACTGTTTTGTTATCCAAAGAATGTGGTAATTTTTGACAAATCACAAAATAAGTATTTGTGTAGAAATAATAACTCCTTTTCTAATTTCAATCTTAACTAGACTGCATAGTAAATATATAACTTTGATTGAATCATTTTGGTGATGGGTGACCCTACAGACAAATACCTTTGCTATTTGTACTGATATTATGTATTGAATCTGGAGTCAATTTTTTTATTCACTTTACTTAGTATTTACTACTCAAAAATGGGGGAAAAGCAAATAATAATTAACAGAGAATGTGAGATAAAAGTCAACATGTTTTGTTATCTGTATCACAGTTATATGAAACAATTATTTGGTAGAGAATAATAATCAGTGCCTCAATTTTGACCAAGAAAGATGTTAACCATGAGTAAACATTCAGCAAATAAGTTTTTTTTAAATATTACCTTTTTTAAAGCTACAAATAAAATATTATGTCAGTACTTGATTCTGCAGGATATTTAATGTCCCTCTATAATTGTTATGATGATGATATAATACTTTTGTAAAATAATTATTGTGTTCAACTGTGCTCATCTTAATTTGTGTTGAAGCAGAAATGTTCAACAAATTTTATGCAACCTACAACTTATTTCAATGTAGGTATATCAGTTAGGGTCTAGTCAAGAGACAGAAAGCATATCAGTGATCAAAAAAAGTTTTTATTATAAATAATTACTAACTAGTAAAAGATGATTAGCTACTAAAAAAGGGGAATGAGACATCCAAGGAACAAAGAAATAGAAATGTAGAAATTTGCTTTTATTTCTAGGGGTGAGCAAGAGAAAACATTGAAGAAACTGAGAATATATAACAGCACACTCTTCCCAGGCTGAGAAGCAGACATTATTGGAGACAGTGGGGCTACCACCTGAGCCAGCAGCATACCTATAGCAAAAAAATTTCTCACAATGCGCAGATTGGAGCTAGTTTGCAAGCGTGGCCACTGTATGGCTGATAAACTTGTTAAAAGATTCAGGTGAGCCATATTTGTATATGGAAACTGTACACTATGTGACCAAGAAGATCACTTGAAAGTACTAGTGTGCTCGAGCTGATTCACAGGAAGTGGTATTCTGTAGATGCACTGAAACCTGAGCACCACTGGTCCTCCACCTTGTACCCATAACATAGGAGGAAATAAAGCAACCAGGAGCATACATTGCTTTGAGCTTCAGTGTCCCGCTGGCCTCCTCTACTGACAAAGTCTACTTGTACCAAGTGGCAAAGGAAAAATATTAAGAGTTTAGCTCTGATCTCACAAAGTAGGAAAAAGGGAAGTAGATTTGGTACTGCAAGTAATAAATTGATAGACCAATATACCCGT
Source organism: Homo sapiens (assembly GCF_000001405.40). Taxonomy (NCBI): domain Eukaryota; kingdom Metazoa; phylum Chordata; class Mammalia; order Primates; family Hominidae; genus Homo; species Homo sapiens. The sequence continues at coordinate 193,869,511 of NC_000002.12, read as the reverse complement.
TTGCTTACTCCACTTTCATATAAAGATTTTTATACATTAAAGCTTCCAAACAAAAATGAAACCACTCCGTTTCCGTGTAACAAGATGTAGCTATCCATGGTACAAGTAAAAACTTCCAATACTTTCTGGAAATGAGAAGGCACACAATTCCAAAGATATTTTATCAATTATCATCAAATGATTTGAACAGTCTCACTAAATGCATTGCTACCTAAATAGTAAAGTAAGCTTCAAAAGTTTAATATAAAATAATAATAGGAATGATATGGTTTGGCTCTGCGTCCCCACCCAAATCTCATCTCAAATTGTAATCTCCACATATTGAGAGAGAGACCTGGTGATGTCATGGGCTCCTTGGGGTGTTATTTCACCAGCCAGAAACCTCTGTGGCTGGCAGTGCCTTCTGCCTGAATATTGCTCACGCTCACTGGGATTTTCCTGCCCACTCGACTCAGCAGGCTGCACTTGGCTCACACTGTTGGCCCAGCTCCCACGCCTGCCAACAGCGAGTCAGGCATGGAGCAGTGAGGGAAGTGTGCATGAGTAAGCGCGGGTTCAGCCACTATGCACAGCCAGGCACACTGGTTGCTGTGGTGGGGCGGGCAGCTACAGGCCCCAGCACAGATGCCAGCTCCATGCAAGGCTGTGGCTGGACCAGATGTACTGCATGCGGCTTTCACTGTGGGCACTCGCATCTGGACTAGGGGAACGTAGTGGAACCTAGAAGCTTGGAGACACAAGTAATTGCAGAGCCCAAAGAGGGTGTCACAACCCTGGCTTGGGGAGTCCCTGTGCCTGGCCTCCCGAAGGGCTGCAGCTATTCTCTCCTTCTTGTCATCCACAACATGGCAAGCAGAGTGGTGTGTTTCAGCCCTGCTTGTTTACCACTCTTTCAATCCCACCATTCATCCTGTCCCAAGTTCTTGTTCCACATCAATGAGGAATGAGGTACGCAGACAACTGGAGGGTGAGCAAGGCACAGAGGAGCTTCGGTGAGGGACAGAACAGCTCTCAGGAGACCCAAAGTGGGTAACTCCTTTCCACAGTCAGGTCGTCCTGTTAAGTATCCAGGTCTCTGCAGTGAGGAGACCTAGAGTGGGTATCTCCTTTCTGCAGGACACTCATCTGGAAGAACTGAGGAGACCCAAAGTGGGGAGCTCCTTCCCGCAGATGGTGAGTCTGGCTGAGTCCGGGGATGTTATGGGCTCAGAAAGGAGAAAGTGCATGCTGATTGGTCTATGGGCAGCCATGGGTGGACCTGGAAAAGGCACCATAAGTTCTCACTTCAGGCTGCAGACTCCACCCAGAACTGGCAGCCCACCTCTCAGGCTTCAGTCTGTCCCTGGCTCGAAGGTGGGGTTTCACCAGGGACCCTCCCCTTTCTGCCCAGGAATCTGTCTGCCTCCTGCCATTAACATGCCATCCATGACACCCAGGCTGTTCGTGCAGAGGAGCACCTACAGGCCAGTGTTGATCTACCCTTAGTGCCCATCAGCCTTCCTCATGTGCTCGTGGGTTCCCAAGTTCAGAGAAGGCTAAGGTGGAGGGGGGCTGGCATGTCAGAACCACCCTGAGTGTGCGGACACCTGGCTGGGTCATGTCAACACCTGGGCTTGGCCACAACTTTGTTCTGCACCAGAGCTGGTGCCGGGGGCAGGGAGCAGGGAGAGACTAGGGAGAGTGAGCAGGCAATTCCAAGCCTGTAGGAGTAGGGGGCACTTACCAGGTCCCCAAGAGCACAGAGATACCCAGGTTCCGGGACCACAGCTGAGTCCCTGCTGTTGCATGAAGAAACGTGGGGCTCCCGCCTGTCAACTCGGTAGGGGGTAGGGCTCTCACCTCTTCGGAACTCTTGCCAGATGCACAGAGCAAGCAGCCGCAGCAGTACCTTGCCTCCTGCAAGTGTCGTCATCACAGAGGCCACTCCAGACGGCTGCCACTGCCATCAGTGGGAGGTGACTGAATCATGGCGGCAGTTTTCCCCATGCTGTTCTTGTAATAGTGAGTTCTCACGAGATCTGGTGCTCTCAAGTTGTAGCACTCCCCGCATCCTGCTGCCATGTAAGATGTGCCTTACTGCTTCCTCTCTGCCTTCCACCATAATTGCAAGTTTCCTGAGGCCTTCCCAGCCATGCACAACTCTGAGTCAATTAAACCTCCTTGATTTATAAATTACTCAGTCTCAGGTAGTTCTTTAGAGGAAAACGAACTAATACAGAAAACAGAGATAAGAAAATATTTATGATATGCTCAAATATATACACACATAAGAAGAAAAGAGAAAATATATAAAGTTTCTAGAGCCCTGTTTTCTGTAATTGGTCTTAAGATTATAATTGTTATCTGTTACATCTTTCTTCCTCAGCCCAGAAAGAAGGTCCTTCAGACAAAACTTCACCTTTTCTTTTTTTTTTTTTCTTTTCTTTTTTTTTTAGGTGTGTTGACCCAAATCTCAATTCCTTAAGGTTCTGAGTCCTCAAATGTCCTACACAAAATGTGACCTTAACCATATAAAGTGGCAGTATTTTTAAGCGTTTAATTTATGACTTAGATCCAGGATCATCACCTCAATCTGAAAGTCATTTCTTCAAAAGTAACTGATAAAATAATCATGTATTTCTGCATGTCACTCTTGAGCCTTGTGCATTTCCAGTGAAACAGCCAACATATTTTTTTTTTTTACATTTTCTAAAAGAGCTGAAAACATATATCAGGACAAATTAAACTTTGCTTTGCTTCTCTTGCCATTTAAGAAAAGAACACTTAAGCTAAATAAAGAAATAAATAAAACAAAAATGTACAGATAATGTGGCAAGGTATTGTTTTTGAAATAGTTCCAGTTGGTATTTTTCCTTTGTCTAGCTCCTCATTGCCCAATGTAACACACACAGACACAGATACACAAAGATGCACACACACACACATGTTCACAGACTCACTAGAGCAGGTAGTGCATTCTTAATTATTTCAAATAATTATAGAGCAAAAAGGAAGCCCTTACTTTTCTTCCAGAAGTGTGTCAATTTCTGAAAATTATGTTAAATTCTTCAGAGAATAACAACATAAGCTAGAGAATGGGTCTGAGGAACAACATTAAGAACAAAAGCTAGGTAGACACATTGATTAAGAAAATAGAATTGAGAGTCTGGAAATAAAACTGTGTGTCAACCAACTTTTGACAAAGGTGCCAAGAGCATTCAATAGGGAAAAAGTGTCTTTTTAAGAAATAACACTGGGGCAATAGGAAAGCCACCTGCAAAAGAATGAAGTGAGATTATTACCTCACACTGTATCAAAAACTTAAAATGGTACAAAATCTAAATGTAAAATAAAAATTATAAAACTTATATACCAAAATATAAGGGTAGGGGTAAATCCCCACGAATTTGGATTTGTCAATGTATTCTTAGATATGACACCAAGTGGCATAAGTAACAAAAAATAAATATATTGAACTTCATCAAAATTAAACGTATCTGTGCTTCAGTGGAAAGTACTCGGAAAGTGAAACCATAACTTACAGAATTAAGAAAATATTTTCAATTATTTAGAGAGAGAAAAGTAATTGTTGCATAAGGTGGAATGGATATAGAGAAAAAGGAGCAATGGCTAAAGGGTATGGGTTTCTTTTGGAGGTGATGAAAATGTTGTACAGTTGACTGCTGTGATGGCAGGTTACATCTGAATACATTAAAATTATTGATTCATGCATGTTAAGTGGGCTCACAATATGGCATGTGGATTGTATGTCAATAAAGGTTTTTTTAAAAAAGAAAACAGATTTGTCATATAGAGAATGATCTTGTACCTCTTGCTAGCTACTTCTTGGTCTATAACATATTGGGAAAACAGGTGTGCAGTAAAATGGAGTAGAGTAGAGAGGTATGGTGAAAGTGAGGACTTACATTAAAGAGTAATAGCTCTATACAAGCTCTATATCTGATCAGCATCTGGAGTCATAGCAAATCAGAATGACACAAGGTAGTTTCTGCCAGCAACAAAATGTAGTACTGCACCAAGTCTCAGTAGCTAATGTAGTCAGGAGATTAAAAATGAGAGATATAGCAATTTGTTAAAACCAGTGTCTAGGACTCAATGGCCAAGAATAGTTCAACTAATACCTAGGCAAAACAGATTATTAGAGAATAATATCCCTCCACTGGCCAATGCTTTGACACTAAAATAATGCAGAAAACTTGGAGACAAATTCTGGGAATGATTTGAAGTACCAAACTACTATGTCTATTTTACATCATTCTATTAGAATTAGACTTGAAAATGGAAAAATAAAGTTACGTTTCTTATATACCTGAGATTGTGGAGAATGATTTATATTGATAACACTTTAGAAATGTAATATCTGATGAAAAAAAGAAGAAATAATTATAAATTAAGGCAGCTTTTCAAGTTTTTAGTTTAAATCTTAACGTCTAATATCAGAAAGCTTCCTTCAAATATCAGTGATGATTCCATTGAATGGGGACATAAGACTGCATTATGGCTTATTCCATTAAATGACAGATCAAAAAGTAAGGTACCACTATAGGTACAATGATTGATACTATTTATCAAGAGGAAATAGTATTGTAGAAGTTAATGAGACTCTAATGAAACCCAAAAGGTCCTGTAATAGTGCTATATTAGATGCTTATTACTGTGTAACAATTTGCCCCCAAACTTGATGACTTAAAAGAAAAACATTTATTATCTCACAATTTTTATAAGTCAGGCATCCAGATGTGGCTTAGAGGGGTCCTCTGGCTCAGGGTCACTCACAGAACTGTATCAAGCTTCCAGGTGGGGCTACAGTTTTCTCAAACTTCACTATGGTTAGATCTACTTCCAAGGCCTCTCATGTGTTTATTGGCTGACCTCACATCCTCACTGCATGTTGACTGGAGACATAATTTCCTTACCTTGTTGTCCTCTCCATAGGGCTCCACCAATATGGCAACCGAATTCCTACAGAACAAGTGGAGGAATGAGGGAGAGAGCCAGCAAGTTGGACATCACAGTTTTTTGGTAACCTAATCTCCGATATACCATGCTATAGCTTTTACTATATTGTATTTATTAGAAATGATTCACTAAATCCAGCCAATAATCAGAGGAGGAAATTACACTGGGTCTAAATACTGGAAGGGAAAGTTTTTGGAAGCATTTTAATAAAGATGGCCTACCAAAGTGCCATGTGCAGTGATAAAAATTAATGTAATATTATGGAAACCCCAAAAGGTCACAGTTACAAAGGACTTCTCAAGAGTGATGTGTCAGGTCAATACACCAAGTGAATAACCATAACCAGCTGAGATACTGGTTGGGGGCAAAAATAAATTAACACAGTAAATTTATAAATCCCAATTAAAGTTTTGTAATTCTTGTGACAAGTCTCAGAAATAACTATAATATCAATCAACATTGTAATGAATTATATAGTAGGAAATAAAGATGATAATTTTACTACTGGTGTATTTTTAATAGAAATTATAGTCATGGAGAGAACTTGTTTTTTTCCATAACAATGTCTAATCTTCATTCCCTACTTGAGTTTTGAGGGGCAGGTGCGAGTCATTCAGGTTTGAGAAATAAAAATCAATCAGATGTAGCATATTTCTAGAGCCAACAGGTGCAGCAGTGACAGACTCAAAATCCCTAGATAAAAGGTAAATAAATATGTTCCTTTGGTCAACAGCCCCTGCCATAATGCAGTCTTATGTCCCCATTCAATGGAATCATCACTGATATTTGAAGGAAGCTTTCTGATATTAGACGTTAAGATTTAAACTAAAAACTTGAAAAGCTGCCTTAATTTATAATTATTTCTTCTTTTTTTCATCAGATATTACATTTCTAAAGTGTTATCAATATAAATCATTCTCCACAATCTCAGGTATATAAGAAACGTAACTTTATTTTTCCATTTTCAAGTCTATTTCTAATAGAATGATGTAAAATAGACATAGTAGTTTGGTACTTCAAATCATTCCCAGAATTTGTCTCCAAGTTTTCTGCATTATTTTAGTGTCAAAATAGAATCATTTTGTTTTGATTTGTTAGCTTCCTAATATTGGCAGAAGTAGGAGGTCCCCATACAGACAAATTCTGTAGTGTCATCTTAGTTTTATTTCTTACAGATCCAAATTTGAGGCTACTCTTTCATCTCTCCCAACAACGTGGTAAATATTTATTTTCCTTCATTACATCTCTTTCTGCTTAAAATAGCTAAAGTGATTTCTGTTGGTTGCAATTCTGACTAATACTGAGATGTAATCAGAAGGATTGAGGAGTAAGGTGTCCAAAGGGGACTAGCACATTAGGAAAAAATCAAATTATAGTGGTAGATTATCAAGAAAATAAATATTCTAATGAAATGACATCCCCTCTCCAAAATTATCTTTTGATTTCCCTGCAACCTTACTGTCAGAACACTTATGACCAATTTAAAAATACAGCTCCAGCACCTTAAAATAACCTTCCTTACTTTAATACTGACAAGACAAAACAGCTAAGATCTCAATCAGCTTCTGACATTTGTAGAACTTGAGAGTTAATCATTAAAGATAAATCTTCAATATATGCCAAAGCTTAGAAATTTAAAAAAAAATTCTTATACCTTTTAAAATATTTTTAATAAAAAGCAATATGCTTGTTAGTATAGAATTATATTAAACTAAAGATTCTCAAATATTTATCCATGTAAATTACTGGGCATTAAAATTATATTCAGGACATTTTCAAACATACAAATACAAGAATAATGTAATTAATAACTCATATATCCATTCTCAGATTTAACAGTTGTCAATATGTTCCAGTCTTTTTCCATCTCTTCTCATCCCCATCTGTTTTCTCTTTTACTGGAATGCTTGAAATAAAATCCAAATATTATGTATTTTCACATATAAGTATTCTCTAATAGATAGATCCTCTTTTTAAAATGAACCAAAATACCATTATCTCAACCTGCAGAATTAACAATAATTTTAATAACATATGATAGCCATGCCATATCCACTATTTCTCCATTAACTCCAAAATACCTTTTATTGACCTCTGCATCAGCATCCAAACAAAATATTCATTACTATACATTTTCTAATACAATTATACAATGTGGTGGTTTTCTAATATAATGTATTCATGTTCCAATATGACAGCTATAATAAAATCACAGAAATATGGCTTAAAACAACACAAGTATATTATTATGGTTCTGTGGGTCAGAAGTTTGATATGGGTCTTACCAGGCTAAAACCAAGTTGTTGGCAGGGCTTTTTTCCTTTTGGAGGGGCTCTCAAAAAATCCATTTCCTATAGTTTTTCAGCATCTAAAGGCTGTCCTTATTCCTTGGCTTATGTTCTCCTTTATTTATTTTCAAAGCCAGCAGTCATGTATCTTTCTGATCTTTCTCTCCTTCTCGTGCCTTCTTATGTCTCCCTGACTACAACATAAGAAAAGTCCCCACTTTTAATGACTCATGATTACACTTTGCCCATCCAGACATTCGAGGATAATCTCCCTATCACGAAGTCTGTTACCTCACTTTTGCGATGTAAGGTGACATATTACATATCACAGCTTCAGGGGATTAGGGTGTCATTATCTTTGGGGGGGCATTGTTAAGTTTTCCAGAGATATATCTAATTAATACTTTATTTTTTATTACATTGTTAAACTTTTAAAAACTGGCAATGGACCCTCTGGAAGTTGAAAAAGAGTAAATAGAGTCTGGTGAACACTTTATCCAGCTCCCCCTAATGGTAACATTGTATCAGTTCTAATTCAATATCAAAACCAGAAAATTGACAGTGATATAATGTCATTTATTAGACTGCAGGCATTATTTACCTCAGTTTTTACATGTATTCATTTGTGTGTGTGTGTGTGTGTGTATGCACATTGTTCTGTCTAATTTGATTCCATGTATATATTTATGGGACAACCACAGTCAAAATACAGAAATGTTTTATCACCACAAAGGAACTATATGTGCTACAATTTTGTAGTTGTACCCACCTGACTCACCACCTTCCTTGTCCTTTGGAAATTGCTAATCTGTTCTCCATTTCTATAGTTTTATACTTTCAAGAACATCATGTAAATGGAATTGTATAATATGAAATCTTTGCGATTGGATGTTGTTTTTAACTAAATATAATACTCATGAAAAATACTCAAGTTGTCAGGTATATCGTTAGTTGATTGCTGTTTATTGCTGAGTAGTATTTCATAATATGGATGTACCAGAGTTTGTTTATTCATCCATTGAAGGACATTTGGGATGTTTCTCATTTGGAACTATTAAAAATAAAGCTGTTAGGAATCTTCATGGTCAAGTTTTTATGTAAATGTAAGTTTTATTTTTCTGAGATAAATGCCCAAGAATGTTATTGTTGGTCATATGATAAGTATTTATTTCATTTTATAAAAAATTGCCAAACTATTTCCCACAGCAGCTGTGCCATTTTACATTCCTACTTGCAATGTAAGCAATAGTTTCTCTGCATTCTTGCCAGCATTTGGCATCATCATTATTTTTTAAATTTTAGTAACTCTAATATGAATACTGTAATAACTCATTGTGATTCTAATTTGCATTTCCCTAATGTCTAATGATGTTGAACATGTTTTTATGTGCCTCTAAGATTTTAGAGACAGCCTTACTTCATAATTCAATGAATATTAATTATAAGTATGTAGTCTTTACTTAGTAATTCTCATTACGAGTCAAAATAAAAGTTCTCATAGTGTTCCCTTGTGATTTATGTCTATTTATAAGGTTTATGAAATACAAATTGCATAAAAGAATATGTAGTTAAAGCAAAACTTCATTAATCTGTTTTCTTCTATTTCATAATATATGATAATTTGGGCAAGTGCTGCTTTTTTATTTTATTAACTGAACTTTTTTTTTAGGAACTAAATTAAGAGAGAAGGAAAAGAATATTTTTATTCTATATTTTGCTTAAACGTTTAACTATCATAAACAATAGTCTTTATTAATTTTAGATATACATAAATAAATTCAAAAGCATACAAGACACATTGTCATTATATACACACTAACTTCAAGAGTTTCCTTTGTGTTTAACACTCTTGTTATTTTGCAAAACCAGATATCTAATACAATATGAAAAAATGATAACATCTGTTCACACTAGATAGGAATGTAGCAGTGGTTATTACATAATGCTTTTTTGTATTTTTCTGTGCTTCAAATTTTTATTAAATAAAACATTAAAAATAAAGATGCAATATTGTTATTATATATACTTATTATATGTTCGTTATATCAGCTATTTTTTCTGTTTTCTTTAATATGTCGCCTTGAGTAGATGATGGTTACCAGAGTCTGGGAAGGCTAGTTTGGGTGGGAGGGAGGAAGTGTAGATGGTTAATGGTTAAAAAAATATAGCAGAGGGCGGGGCGCGGTGGCTCACGCCTGCAATTCCAGCACTTTGGGAGGCCGAAGCAGGTAGATCACGAGGTCAGGAGATCGAGACCACCCTCGCTAACACGGTGAAACCCTGTCTCTACTAAAAATACAAAAAATTAGCCGGGTGAGGTGGCTGGCGCCTGTAGTCCCAGATACTCGGGAGGCCGAGGCAGGAGAATGGTGAACCCAGGAGGCGGAGCTTGCAGTGAGCTGAGATTGCTCCACTGCACTATATAATTACATAGAATGAATAAGATCTAGTAGTAATAGCACAACAGTGTGAGTACAGTCAACAGTAATTTTAAAATATATTTTAAAATAGCTAAAAGAATATAATTAGGTTGTTTGTAACACACAGAAAAATCGATAAATCCTTGAGGTGAAGGAGACCCCATTTACCCTCATGTGATGATTATATATTGTATGACTGTATCACAATATTTCGTGTATCCCATAAATATACACACCTAATATGTACACACAAAAATTAAAATTAAAAAAAATTATGAAACAGGTATTATTTTTGTCTGTATTTTTCAAGTAAATAACCTGAAATATAGAGGCAAGATGGGGTGGCTGGTAAGTGCCTGTAATCCCAGCACTTTGGGAGGCTGAGGCAGGTGGATCACTTGAGGTCAGAAGTTGGAGATCAGCCTGGCCAACATGGTGAAACCCCGTCTTTACTAAAAATACAAAAATTAGCTAAGAGTGGTGGCATGTGCCTGTAATTCCAGCTGCTGAGGAGGCTGTGGTAGGAGAATTGCTTGAACCCGGGAGGCAGAGATCGCAGTGAGCCAAGATTGCGCCACTGCACTCCAGCCTGGGCAACAAAGTGAGACTCCATCTCAAAAACAAACAAACAAACAAACAAACAAAAATATAAAGAGTTTTAGTAACCCCTAAGTGGAAAAACTGGGATTCCAACAAAAAGTTCTCGAATTTAAAAGCTGGCTTTTTAATCACTAATGTTTATTCTTATAGAAATTATTATTGTGTACATTACAATTGTCTTCCAATTACTCATTAGCCAATTTAGATACAAGTAATTGTAGAACACACAAAAATGGCTTATAAGTTATTTTCTGTTGAAATTAATAATTCATACATATTTCAATGTATTTTATAATTTAAAGTGTTAACCATCTTAATTTGGCTAAATTTGGTGTAAGAAATTATATGCTACAATAATAAGTTTTGCAAGTATATTTGATTATAATCTATATCCAAGCATTGTATGGGTTAGAAGGAGATATTTTCTTAACATCCTCTGCAATAATTTAACAATAGGAATAAATGGATTTTTTAGTTACATAATATAATTTTTTCCAAAGTATAAGTCATAAATTTTACTATCATGATTTGAAAACTTTTATAATAATGAAACTTTTATATTTTAACAAACAATTCAGCTATTACTTGTAAGTATCCATGGTTCAGGGCTTATTTAAATATTTTAAAAGTGAGTTGCATTCTCTTTGCTGAATTTGGATTTTTTTAAATTACAGTTTTAAAGAATGTTGATAGAAAGCTCAAATGAAGTTTTCATTGAAAGAATAATTTAGTGATTATTGGTTCAAAAGAAACTTTAATTTCAGTACATAGTACTATGTACACAATCTAAGATAAAAAATATTTTAATGACATCTTAGAACATGGTAGAATAGGAAGATCTGGGAATTGGTCCCCTCTTGGAAACACTATTAAGCTGGCAAGCACTTTAAGAGTCAAGTATTTCAGAACTGCGTAGTCTAGTTGAACGCTCCTCCTTTCTGGGAGAGTGCTATAGGGAGAGGGAGGCTGGTAAATTTCAGTGAATTTGAGCATTCTGCACCCACCACAGCCCCATAGCAGACAACTGTAGGGATTGTGGCCTTTGTTTCTGGTCTGGCTTACTAGAGCCAGGATGGGCAATGCAGACTTGTCCTCTAAACATTGAGATTGTGTGTTTTGATCTGCCTAGTGGTTCACTGAGGACTAGGCAAAAACAGAGACACTGATCATTCATTTCAACCCCCAGGACTTAAGTGGCTTCCCCTGCGGTCTCCATCAAGATGATTTAAAGAGACAGAACACTTTTCCTCCCACCCCTTTTCTTATTGGATCCGGGTATTTAAGGAAATTTCTGTCAGGTCACCTGCCAACCGTGGAGATAACGAAATGACAAAACAGGGAATATTGCTTTTGCCAAAATGGTTTGGGAAAGTCACTAAATAATAGTTGGCTACAGGCTAGGTGCGGTGGCTCATGCTTGTAATCCTAGTACTTTGGGAGGCTGAGACAGTTGGATCACTTGAGGTCAGGAGTTTGAAACCAGCCTGTCCAACATGGTGACACCCCGTCTCTGCTAAAAATAAAAATACATAAAAAAAAAAAAAACACACAACTTGGCTGGGTGTGGTGGTGGGCACCTGTAATGCCAGCTACTCGGGAGGCTGAGGCAGGGGAATGGTTAGAACCCTGTACGCAGAGGCTGCAGTGAGCTGAAATAGCACCACTGCACTCCAGCCTAGGTAACAGAGCAAGACTGTGTCTCAAAACAAAACAAAATGAATAATAATAATGATAATAACAATAATAATGGATGGCTATAATCCTTACCAACAGCAATCTCTGGTTTGGGGGCACCGATTTCTAGAGTTACCACATTAAAATGTTCAAAATGTCGAGTTCTCAACAAAAAATTACAAAACACCTAAAATGAAATATGTAACTATGGCCTATTCATAGAGAAAAAAAAAAAGCAAGAAATTGACGTAAATCATCCCCGAGGAAGCATAAACATTGAATTTTCTAGATAGAGTTTAAAACTGTCTCATATTTGCTCAATGAGCTGATGTAAACCATGAACAAAAGACTAAAGAAAATCACAACTATATATAAACAATTAGAGAATATCAATAAATATATATTGATTATAAAATGGAACCAAATAGAAATTATAAAGCTAAAAAGAAAAATAACTGAAAATTTAAATTTACTAGATAAATGTATCACGTAATATCTGAGTAAAATTTTTTCATCTACTCAACTCATGTTTAATAAATAGAAACAATAAGATATTCATGATTTTGGCATTGTGTAGATTTTAATTTTGAAAATTTTCCTGTCTTCAAGAAACTTACAGCCAAGTGGTAAGATAAATGTTGAACACTTGTCAGATGCAAACCAAGACTATGCGTTTTCTTCCTCTATTAATGGTTATCGGGAATTTCTCTTGAGGATATAATTGTGGATAGAACAAAAGATGGTGAAGCAGTAAGATCAATTACCTCAAGAGTCTCAACATATGAATGCTTTTCAGAACTGATCAGGGTAGGTCTTGCATTTGGCATTTGTTGTTTACAATAAAATACTGATGAACACGTCTTACTTTATAATTTAGTATCAGATAACATTCAGTTTATGACTTATATTTTGGGTTACACTGTTACTTGGTGTCCCACGTTCAGATATCATAAGTCAAGTAGAAACTATAGGATGAAAAAAGGCTGTTTTCAATTGCATAAATATTGTTAAAAGGAAAAAGTTTTGCACATATCCAAAACTGAAAGAGTACGCATATGATTTTCAGGGCTTGTCATAAGCTTTTTTTTTCCCCCCCATAGGTTACTGGGGAACAGGTGGTGTTTGGTTACATGAGTTAGTTCTTTAGTGGTGATGTGTGAGATTTTGGAGCAGTATACACTGCACCCAGTTTGTAGTCTTTTATCACTCACCCCCTTCCCACACTTTCCTCCTGAGTCTCCAAAGTCCATTGTGTCATTCTTATGCCTCTGCATCCTCCTAGCTTAGTTTCCACTTATGCTGAGAACATATGATGTTTGGTTTTCCATTCCTGAGTTACTTCACTTAGAATAATAGTCTCTAATCTCATTCAGGTCACTGCAAATGCTATTAATTCATTCCTTTTTATGGCTGAGTAGTATTCCATCATATATATATATAACTATATATATGTGATATATATCATATATAGAGAGAGATATATATCACATATATATCAAATATCTTTATCCACTCATTGACATTTATATTTAAAGAAGTTCCGTTTTGACATGTTTACAGGATTTTTTTTTTTTCAAGACTGAGTCTCACTCTGTCACCCAGGCTGGAGTGCAGCAGCACAATCTCGGCTCACTGCAACCTCCACCTTCTTTGCTTCTTCAAAACCTCAGCTTCAATTGGACATACTACATGATTAAATTGTTAAATATCTGCAATTATTCTAACAGTATTCCCTGACTTTTGTGACTAATATTTGTAAGTTTCTGATTTTTGCATGTTCTCCAACTAATCATTTTACATTAATATTTTGGCTTTCATGCTGATGAGAAGGTAGGCATACAAACAATTCCAAGTACTTTCATATGGCCTTCCCTACCATAATTTTTCTCATTCTATGTGTCATAGAAACAATGTGGGGTTTATGTCAGCATCTAAATTTTTCCATATTTACTTAATATTCTAAAACTTTGAAAATAAGTGTGAATTCAAGCCAAGGTTCCTTCTGTCATCTGATCACCACATGCTTCACTGTGATTTGTGGCTCATGAGGTATTTTCATCCTTCAGAGAATAGCAGCACTTTTGAAGGTATCTAGTAATTCCAGGAAAGCCTGTGTACTTCCCTTTTCCCATTGATTGTTTCCCCAGTAAGTGACCACAGATACGTCTGTGGGAAGATTCAAAGTACATACTGCAGCATCTTTACTACTCAATAGAGAGGTTCAACTTATGAGAAAGGGCTAATGCCCAGCAGTTTGGTAAGAGGTTTTGAATTTCCACGTTAATCATTCAATTTATGTTTCTGTTCATCAGAGTTAGAAATTTTTCACCTATATATATGAAGCATATTGTGATTAGCCTACTCATTTATATCAATTCTGGTGACTTATAATCAAAATCAGCATCACTGCAGATTACCCAAGGTGTCATAGTGCTTTGATTACTAGTCCATTTTTGTGGCACATTGTAATTTTACTTGTCTTCCAGCTTTCTGGGAATCCACTATTCCCACAGAGAGCAAAGAAACAAATTGCACTTTATCATTTTAATCGTCATCCGGACTATAAAGTAAAGCATTGCTTTGCAAAGATGCTAGACTCACCCACCTTACCAATGCATATCTTAATTTCCTGGTGAAGAGAATGCCTTCTGGGACCCTACTGATTATGGTTAGGGTCACATGAGCAGTAAGCATATAACATATTTATTTCATCATTTACTGAAAGATCCTTCTTGGACCCTTTCTTTTTCAGGATGTTAAAGAATTTTCTTCCAGCATATCAGTCCTCATTCACTTTAGTGTGCCACTGAGTACAAGCTTCAATTAACCAATCTAGCACACTATCTAAAACAGCTATAGGAGCACAAGGCAACATATTAAGTCACAAGTGACGGTCGTCATTGAATTTGGCCCAATGAAATCTTCTACTTCTTCCTTAGTGTAACACCAGTAGGGTTGACTCCCATGTTATGTCTCACGTACTCCTACTGATGCAACTCAACATAATTCTATAATTATTTTAATTGCACAGGCTGTCTCCTTCCAGTGCTAGCCTTAAATTTCTCCATCATTTTTTATGTTAGGATCTAAGCCTTATGAGGGCTCATAAGCAAGGAGTATTGTTTTTTGAGGCAATGGTTTCTGTTTTAATCATTGAAACTGTTTTTACTCAACAAAACCTGAGCCTTCTTTTTTTTTGTTTTTTGTTTTTTTGTTTTGTTTTTTTTGTAGATGGGAAAGGTTGCCTATGCATGGCAAGCAAAGTTGAAAGAGATAAGACGATACATGTTTCTCATTGTTGTCTGTACCATCCCAGAGTTCCCATTCCAAATCTTAGGGTACCAGTGCTTTTGCATCAGTTTCCTTATCCTAATATAAGATGCCTGGTGGGAAGGATCAATTCATTGGTTCTATATCTCTTTAGCCCATATGATCAAGTCCTTGAGTCAATCCTTAGCCATATCTGTCCTCAACTACAGGAAGGATGGGCTCCTTCAAACCTTTCTTTGAGAACCTCTGATTTTCCCACTTTGAGTTGAACACTCAATATGTTCATTAGGCAAGTGCCACTTCAAAGTCAAGAAAAATGAATCCAATCTTTTAATAGGAGTTGATGTGAAGTTACACTGAAGACTATGTCAAATTATGTCAATATAGGGAGGGAAAAATTTTTGTAAATTTCCAAACAATCATAAGAATGTCAAAGAATAATACAGAACTCTTCAATCCTTATATTCATTACAGTTGCCATAGTGACCAAATCCCAAACCGGTGGTTGTCACCCTGCCTTTCCCTCCACCTGCATTACTCCCATACCTACAATTTGATAATTTTTATGATGATACCACCACAGGCCTCAGATTCCCATGCCCCTTTTCCTCTAGTAAAGGGATTATTTTAATAATTCTCAAATCTATGAGCAACCCAAACCCAGAACTGCAAAGGTGTCCTTCTGAGGGGTACTCCTAGAAAAAATAAATTACCATTTCTGATCAGAGTGCAGGCAAGACATGTATCAATATGACACAAATCAGTATAATTGAGGAGAGTTTAATAAAAGAACTGTTTAAAATAATGTGGAAAAACAGCAGGGGCAGGTATCATGGGAAACATAGCCACCTAATATGAGTTGGCTTGGGCCTTCTTAACCTCTCAAGCCCAGTTGGTAAGTAAACACTATTTCTGTTTTATAGTGAAATGCTGCCGAGAATTTTTAATTTTACCTTTATTTTAGTGATTTGCAAATGGATGAAATAACCACTTACAGAAATAATAATATATTGCCTCACATTAAAAAATATATCTTCACTCTTTAT